>NC_000001.11:206820950-206972465 GCF_000001405.40 Homo sapiens | reverse complement strand
TTTGCAAACTGGGGGATTGGAGGTGGGAGCTGGAGGACAGGGAATGGACAAAGCTCTTCCCAGATTTGATGTCTGGTCAAAGCCTGATTCCAGAGTCTAGGGCCTAAAATCAGGTTATAGTGTCATATATATATGTAAAGAAGCCCCTGGGGCTTTGTGCTGGATAAGCAAATTCAATTGTACCCCCAAGAGAAGCAGCCAGTATGGAGTTTTCTCCTCCATAAAGCTTCAGAGAAGGGACTTCATGGCTCTGAGAAAGTGCTCTGGAAACTGGACCAGTGCATTACAATTAATTGTACTTTACTATAATTTTTGGTTTCTGTAATCAAAAAGTCTTCAAAGTGTTCAGAAGTAGGTAAAACAGAAAAATATGACCTTAAGGATGCAAATGGCAGCAACATTTACAAAATAGTGAAAATTTGACAAATGTTTACTTAAGAATATAAATTTAATTCAGAAGTGTCCCTAGACAAATTGATGAATTTTTTATCTTTCAAATGCCAAAATAATGGAAAGGAAAAGGAAGGGAGGGAGGGAGGGAGGGAGGGGACACTTGAATGGAAGAAAACCGTCGAAGGCATTTTTTTTTTGAGAGTTTGATCATGATAAAACACCTGCTTCCTTTGCTACAAGCCAAGCTAATAATATTCTCAGCTAATGTTTAATGAAAATTAACTGCATGCTAAGAACTTTGAATTATATGGATTATCACATTTGATCCACATAATAACTTTATGAGATAGGTGCTATTTTCTCCTGTTTAACAGATTAGGAAAACTAGGTTTAAAGAGAAAAAGTAACCTGATCCATGTCATTTTCCCAGTAAAAAGTAGAACTGAGATCTTAACTGAGAGGAGTGGGGAGTCTGACTCCAGAATCTATGTGATCAAACATGACACTATACTGCTCCATGAGGAGGGGAAGGGGAGAATCTGGCCAGGCATTAGCTACCTCTCTACCACCTACATGAAGGTCACTCATTTCTGGAAACCAGTCTCGGAAGGCAAGGCCACTGTATACAGTTCTTCAGGTTGTGCACTGCTCAAGAGCACCATTACTAAGGAGATACCATTCACATTGTAGATGTATTTTAACTAATATGAGAGGCTATAGATGGAGGTGAAGATCTGGAGCTCTAGCACTGGAAGCTGCTGACCAAGTCGTGGGAGAGCAGCACACACAGCTGTGCACACAGTTACCAGCACACACTATGCACAATTGTCCTGTCATGGCCAAACTCCAAGTACCCCATAGAGTTGTTTCTCTTCCTCTTCTGTTGCTTTCAGTGACTCAATTTCTACCCTCAATCTGCCTTCAAATTTGGAAGGGGAAATGCATGGAGAATACATGCTGCCATCTATGGCTACAGCAAATTACACAACAATATACCAACTGAATTTATTCTTAAGGAAGAGTTGCCCTTTCTAATTGGTCAGAGGTGCCGTATTATCATATCTATCAGGGGTCCTAGTGAAGGTCCCTAATTGCAGCTTGCAGCACCCCCCATCCCCTTGTGCCCATTCATTGTTGAGTGCTTCAGCTGTACAAGCCATTTTAATGTCAGTTTGAGACCAACAGAGACTGGAAGATCACATCTTTTACAAGGAAAAGAAAAACCCATAAACTATTTTCCAAAGGGAAATATTGGGGTATTTTTCAACTGTGTCATCTATTTGGGTAAGCCACACTTCTCAGTGTCCTCTTTCCATGAAGATCATCTCATTTACTGTATTATGCTTTGTCAGGGACGTGAATTAGTAACCACCAGATCATGCAACTCTGAAGTCAGTGACCCAAGCTGCCCAAAGTTCTTCTCTATGAGAGTTGGAGGGGCCAGGTCAGCTGGAGGGCACCAGCTGCCAGCCAAATGGCAGGGGAATTCCTCTCCTGAATTTTGAATTTTCCCTGCCCTCCTGCCCAAGTTGTTGCATCACTTGTCCGGGAGATGCCTGAATGGGCTGGTAAGCTGGGGCACCCTAAATAGTCTGAGACCCCTGAAGGGGACACAAGAGGAGGAAGGATATGGATCAGTGTTTTCTTTTTTGAAGCTACTGTTACCACTCCTGGAAAAGTTCTTCAGGAATAAGTGACAGTAAGAATGACAAGGGATTAGGACTGGCTTCCTCTTATAAATAATAAAATCCAAAGAGAAGTGACTTGAGGTGAGTGGCAGAGCTACGCCTTGCACCCCGACCTTCCGTTGCTAGCTCCAGCTGCTTTCCAAAATACCACCTTGACTTCTCAGTCTCCAGGTTTAAAGGAGAGCAACTAGAAGTCGTCCAAACACCTGCATCTCATAAGGAGAAGAAAAGTCCACCTGGATCTTGTTTCTGGACTGAGATGGATGGAGAGGCCACAGTGAAGCCTGGAGAACAAAAGGTGAAATGATGCTTTCTCCTGGAGGTTGGGATCTTGCCTCTGAATGTGGGGGGTGAACTGCAGCCATAGCTGTCACACATGCTCCTCAGTGCCCTTCCCAGAGCAGGTGGGCTCCTTCCCAGGAGGCCAGGTAAGGGTTCTAGAGTCCAGAACATAGGGGCTCCCTCTCAGCTCCCTATTATTCTGCTCACACCCACCAGAGTGCATGGTTCCTTAGAAGTCCTGGGTAATTTAGAACCAAAAAAACGTTAGAAAGAGAAGAAACACGGAGAACATGCAGTCAAAGCTCTTCTTTTGTAGAGGAGAGGAACAGAACATTGGCCAAGTTATTGCAGCAGCCTGAGGCTGCTGCAGCCCCTCCTGAGTCCTGGTTCTGTGCTCTCTCCTCTATACTACACTGACTCCTTCCCTTCTTATCTGCTGCCCAGGGGATGTGGGGAGGGGATAGGAGTGAACTGGGGCTCGGAGGGCCAGTAGGCATCTGGGAAGTCATGCAGCAAGCAGCCTGTGCTGAAGCTGAGGTGAGGTGCATGCCCTTCCCAGCAGGATGAGAGGGACAAGAGAGTCCCCTCATATGGTCTCATCCCCTAAAACGCAGTGTGCAGTAACAGAAGCCTGTGGCCCCAGGCTACTGAATTATGGCCCCCTGTCTCCTGGAGAAAGGATTTCTGAAGGTCATTGGCAGAGAGGGTGACTTGGAGACATTCCGTTGAGTATTATCCTCCCAGCCTCCAATCAAAGCTGATAACTCCCTGGAAACATTTTATCTCATACTCCTGCTTCCTCATTGCCCCACGGAGCCGGCTTTTCTCCCTGAAGCCCAGAGATTGCTGCACCGGTGACTTCAGAGGAACTGGATGGTATGATGCAGAGACTTTGGCCCCAACATGTGCTGCATCAGCACTTAGTGCTTTAGAAAAATTCACCCGGGGGAGTCTAGGTACCAGCCCCAGAATCAGCCAGGACTTGGTGAATATTAATCAAATTATGAGTTAGGTGCAGGAACAAACACCCTGGGAGAGTCTCCAGGTGGGGACAGGAAGCTTTGTAAGGCAGGGAAAGGTCTGAGACTGCCATCGCAGTGCCCAAGCTAGGGGACTTGCTACAGCGAAGGCACAGAAAGATGCATAAAGAGCCTATGGACTTTTAAAGATCTGGCCATTCTTGGGGCTCAAACTGGGTAGAGCAGGGAAAGGCCTTAGTGGAGAGGGCTGGGCAGAGCCAAGCTGAGGGGACAACTTGCCAAGTCTAGTTGCAGGAAAACAAGCTCAGGGCCACCCCATGGACTCTCTACTTTTCTCTGCTTCTGTCTTCTCTCTTCCCTTTTCCCTTCTTTCACCTCCTACCTCTCCTTTTCTCTCCCTGTTCTCCTACTTCCTCTGCCTTCTCTTTTCCCCTATTCCCTGTTTTCCTCTTTGTGATTCCCTCCTGCACAGCCTGTGTCACAAACTGGCCAGTGGTTTTGCATGGCTTAAACTGTTTGGGGAGTGAGGGGGTTTCTGCCCATGGGCCAAACCATTGACTGTTAGCGCCTGTCCTTAACAGTAGTGAGGAACGTATTAGAGTAGGAAGAAAAACTCAACGGCTAACTTTAGTTTGCTTTTTCAAAAATCTATAGGTCTCAGAAACAGAAGCAATAGATAGATTCAAAGAGTAGATTTTTAATCCATCAAAAAGCATCCATGAATACCCTCTGGGGAATACAAGAGAAGTGTAATGTACAATCTCTGTCTTTTTTGTTGTTGTTGTTGTTGAGACAGAGTCTTGCTCTGTCACCCAAGTGGTAGTGCAGTGGCACGGGCTCACTGCAACCTCTGCCTTCTGGGTTCAAGCAATTCTACTGCCTCAGTCTCCTCAGTAGCTGGGATTACAGGCATGTGCCACCACGTCAGGCTAATTTTTGTATTTTTTAGTAAAGATGGGATTTCACCATGTTGGTCAGGCTGGTCTTGAACTCCTAACCTCGTGATCCACCCGCCTCGGCCTCCCAAAGTGCTGGGATTACAGGCATGAGCCACTGTGCCCGGCCACAATCTCTGTCTTTTTCATCAGCAAGCGGTAAAAGACCATTGTGTAGTGATCAGTATGGTGTCCATTAAAAGAGGAGGGTTACTGTTCACAATAGCTGTGCATTTCACATCTACAACGTGCTAGATCCCCTTTCAGAGCATGATGGTAGAGGGATGAAATACAAAGCTGTCCCCTCTGGAAGCTCCCCAGGCCAGTGGGAGAGACCACAGTGGGGTGAAGGTCAGTGTGGATGGGGGGACAGAGAGGGCTTTCTAGAAGTTGTGGAGAAGAAACAGAATAGCACCCTAGTGCAGAGAGCTACTTGGTCTGAGATTTAATTTTTAACTCCTTGTTACTAACCGAGGCATACTAACAGTGAAACAGAAATCTTCCCTTGAAAAAACCAATTCCCCTTCTGCAAACAGGAAGTGGTGAGGAGAGGAAGAGAAGTGGACTACTCCAGGCTCATTGCTGGCACTTTACCACAATCTCACGTAAGTTGTGTAACAACAACCCCTTGCAGATTCCTTCATTCTCCTGAAAAGGAATCGAATCCCTGAGACTAACCTTCCAAGGTCCCACAATTCCAACTAGAGTTTGGACTTCAAACGTGGCCTTTCCACTACACGGTGCTCCCCACAAACTCAGAGCTCCAGGCTGGCAAGTGGGTGCCCAGGCTAGAATCCTACAGAGGGAGTTTCACCTCTTCTGAACACAGAACCCTCAAGGGTAAGGGACATTTTGGCCTCGTGGACGTGACCAAAATGTGCATGCTTAGGAGTGTGAGGATAAAGTCATGCTTTCTCAGGGAGGGAAGTGCTTGTCTTACTCTCAGATATCTGCAACCCAGCCCCTGCACTGAGCAAACCGAGATCCCAAAGTGAGAAGATGCTTGTTCTCTCAAGTCCCACCACCCTCACCCAGCTTCTCTCAGGCCTCTTTTCATTTAGAGTGTTTTTTGCAGGTCACCAGCAGGAGGGCGGGATGGAAAATGCCCCTCTTCCTCATACTGTGCCTGCTACAAGGTGAGTCCCAAACCCAGCCCAGGTTCAGGGCTTACAAAACCAGACCTGAGTCTTCCAGGCTGCCCTAAAGGTCCTCACAGGCTGGTATGGTAAAACTGTCCAGGTATAAACCATGCTCAGATGACAAATGGCTCCATCTCCATGCTGTAGTAGATTTTATTCTGATGGTAATAGGGAACCATTGAGGAACATAGTGAGTATGCGCCAAGAGTACCCAGTACCTAGAATCTAGTCCCAAGTAGATGCTTAATAAATAATGACTGAATAAATTAATGAATGAATGGAAATTCCATCATAATACCAAAAAAAGGATTAACAACTGGCTTAAAAACAAATCAGAGTTTTAATGAATCAAAGGTAGCCAATAAGGTCGGACGTGATGGCTCACACCTGTACTCCCAGCACTTTGGGAGGCCCAGGCAGGCGGATCACAAGGTCAGGAGTTCGACACCAGCCAGAGCAACATGGTGAAACCCTGTCTCTACTAAAAATACAAAAATTAGCCGGGCCTGGTGGCACGCACCTGTAGTCCCAGCTACTCATGAGGCTGAGGCAGAAGAATCGCTTGAACCCTGGAGGCAGAGGTTGCAGTGAGCTGAGATCGCGCCACTGCACTCCAACCTGGGCAATAGAGCGAGACTCCATCTCAAAACAAAAACAAAAACAAAAAATGTAGCCAATATTTGAGTAAGCACTCTGCGTGATAAAATCACACCACCTCTTTAATCTCCTGCTGTCCCTTTTAAAATTTTTCAGTAAACGACAACTCAGGCAGGCCCATGATTTTTCTGCTAAGTAATAGTCCTAAATTAATTGCTTTAAGTCTCAAACGTTCTAAATTTGATCATTTAAAGTTTCCAGCTAAATACTTTGGTCAGCACTTTAATCTTCATTTAAAGGTATACTCCCTCATCCCCTCAAGGCCTGCAGTCCAGGAAGGGGGTGTGGTTGCTGCCTTCCCTCTTCTCCACCCCTCTCCTCCCAATCTAGGCAGCTGCTGCTTGAGACCCCAGCAAGGTGGTAGCAGTGGGAGGGAGAAGCTGCAGGAGGGCAGGCAGCTCTTACTTGATGGATGGCCTGGAGCTATCTGGCCTGGCAGGGGTTTGGAACTGGCTGTTTGCTTCTTCCTCTGTAGGTGCCTTTGTGGACACATGGATGGCCCCCTGATGACCCATCTCCTTCCTTTGCTGCAGGTTCTTCTTTCGCCCTTCCACAAAAAAGACCCCATCCGAGATGGCTGTGGGAGGGCTCTCTCCCCTCCAGGACCCATCTCCGGGCCATGGGAACACTCAGGCCTTCCTCGCCCCTCTGCTGGCGGGAGGAGAGCTCCTTTGCAGGTACAACCCCTACTCTCCCTTTGTTCGACCATGGACCTCAGACTTCCCAGGCTCTCTCAGACCAAGTCAGGCTCCCTACAGCTATAGGCAGCCCTAGCCTCTCCTAATGGAAGCCATAGCAATAGACAATTGCTGAGTAACAATGAGGGGATGAGAGCCAGGGCACCCACCTCCATGGATGGGCAGGGAGTTGGCATCAGGGCCCCCAGGTGGGCACACATTGACCCTAAAATGCTGGCCTGGTCTTGAATTCTTATGGTAGTTAATATAAAATTTCCCAAACCTTAATTATTGTATATAACAAAGAGCTATTGATCAGTGATCTATCAAATGAATCCTTAAGGTATTGGTTCTTAACTTTGGTATTAATAAAAAATTATGTGCATTTGCAAGGGTTGATTAAGGATTCTTAATCAGCTTTCTATTGTGAAGTAAGACCACCCCATCCTGCTGATTAGTGGAACCCTGCTCCTCTCAAATGTTTCACATACAGATCAGGGGAATTCCTGAAATCTGGGGTATGCACACTTTATCAGGGCATCATCACTATTGTCCTGAAATGGTCCTTGTTTGTAATTGTGAATATTGCATATATGCACAACTTGGTAAATTTAAATGGTAATTTAACTTTCCCATTAGTGGCATGGTTTGGGGTGTGTTGTTTAATGAAACGTACAGTGAGTATCAGCACAGACATAACATTTATGACCTCTACTCTTCCAGCAGTTAGACCTGAATACACACATAATAGGCAGGGTAGGTTTCCTGGGCCTGTGCAGTCACACAGGACCCCATACTCAGAAGGTACTTGGCTTAATGCTCTGCTGTTGCCATGTTGAAATTCTTAATAACTTTTGAACAAGAAGTCCTGCATTTTCATTTTGCTCTGGCACCCACAAACTGCTTAACTGTTCCTGGCAATAGGATTATATTAGGCCATTTTTACGGTGCTATAAAGAAATACCTGAGACTGGGTAATTTATAAAGAAAAGAAGTGTAATTTTGCTCACGGTTCTGCAGGCTGTACAGGAAGCATGGTGCCGGTATCTGCTTGACTTCTGGTGAGGCTTTAGGGAGCGTTTGCTTACAGGGGAGGCAAAACGGGAGCAGCACAGCACATGGCGCAAGAGGGAACAAGAGAAGGGGTGGGGGGAGGCCCCAGATCTCATGTGAACTGAGAAATAACTCATTTAGCACCAAGGGGATGGTACTAAACCATTCATGACTGATCCTCCCCCACAACCCAATCACCTCCCACCAGGCCCCACCCTCAACATTGGGAATCACATTTCAACATGAGATTTGGAGGGGACGAACATCCAAACCAAATCAAGGATATTAAACTGAACTTTCTGGGGTTCAGACATCCTAAAGGCAGAACAGACTGATAGGTGCCAGGCATCCACATCCTACCGCAAGATGTTGAACCACATGTACAGGGCTGTAGAAAGACACATAGAGCTGGTCCCAGCAACAGCCCCGCGGGAAGCTGTCCAGGCCAAATGAAGGAGGGAGAGAATCATCAGCGGCTGCAGAGCTCACTGTGAGGGCTTTGTCGGAGAGATGTCCCTGTGTTGTGGTCCCCTCCACTTGTCCCAGGGGACAGGAGACATCACTTTCTCCTCACTTTAAGCCAAGTAAGAGGAGGAACTTCCAGAAAGCCACTCAACAAGCATGCCCTTTGTCCCAGGTTCTTCTGACTGCAGGACACAGGTGTACTTCCTGTGTTAAATGCAGGGCCTCCACCTAGAGGGCCACCCAGAGGGGACTATGACCACAGAGCAGGGCAGATAGCCAGAAGTCATAGGCTTGTGGGTGGTGGCCACTAATGGCCAGCAGAAGAACCTGCAATTCTCATAAGGAGAGAACGACAGCCATATATGCTAAAAATACATCTGGTAGGCAAAAAAGAGGCAGCCTTGGTCATCTGCCATGCCCAGAAAGCACCAAGGGCAGATCACAACTGTCTCATTCACCTCTCCTCTCCCCACTCTGCCCAACTCTGGAGGGACCCCCAAACAGAAGCTTTGAACAGGGGAAGGGATAGAGCAAAGCAAGAGACCCCAACCATGCCCCCCTCCTCCATGACAGACTCCAAGCCCAGCTGGGAGAAAGGAAAGGGTTTTGACTGGGCAAAAGATTGGAGTTGTGATCTTTCACTGGACTGGACTGGATGTATAAGTTTAGACTAGGCGGGGCTCTTTATTATCCATGAGAAATTACGAAAGAAAGCTACTATACATGAGATTATGCCTGAAATTTCAGCAAGGATCAGAGATGTCCACGGAGAAGGTATGAAGAGGCAGTGAGAGAAAGAATGAACTTTGTTTCTGCTTGCACCCCATCACATTTAAGTCATCCAGGAAGCTGGCCATATATGTGGTTCAACTACGAATTGTCCTTAGGCCTGTTGCCAAGCAGACATATTCATAGTACTGCTCATCTGTGCTTATATGGTGGCATTTGGTTGTTTCTGTTTCTATGGAAAAGTGACTAGTGTGAAAAATTTTGCAACCACTGGTCCAGACAGGTACCCACCAAGCAGAAGGGGATTCTTGTGTTTCAGGACTCCCCGTCTTTTGCAGATGAAAGGTACACTGATATGTTCTTACTGCTTAGCATCTGTCTTTTACATTCCATGCAAACCAGAGCCCTTCTATCAGGGAATCATCACTGTTGTCCTGAAAGGGTCCTTGTTTATAATTGTGAATATTTTTGTCTTTTGATGATAGATTACCATTTAATGTTATCATTGGTGGCATAGTTTGGACTGTGTTGTCTAAATCTACAGTGAGGAGTGACTGAGTGAGTGAGTGTCAGATGTTGCCTCAGCCCTCTCATGTGTGCTTAGATGGCATCTTTTTAAACATCTGCATTGGAGCACAGGGGAACCCAGGCTCTGGATGGACCAGGATAGCTCAGGATAAGTGTTAGCTTATCAAGGTGGGTAAGATTATGATTACATTTTCATCTTCCATACCTTGGGACAACATCTGCTTTCCCAATGGCTGAGTTCTGCCATTTTTATATTGATTCTGCTCCATGTTCACAGTGGTATTTTCTGACTTGACCCCTAATTCTGGCAGAGTTCAGAGTTCGTGAGTCCCCAAACAGTGACTATGCTCACCACTTCCTCTCCTTTGACTTCCTTCTCTGTCTGCAGCTCCAAATTCATTGAAGGGCTCAAGGCTGGTGTCAGGGGAGCCTGGAGGAGCTGTCACCATCCAGTGCCATTATGCCCCCTCATCTGTCAACAGGCACCAGAGGAAGTACTGGTGCCGTCTGGGGCCCCCAAGATGGATCTGCCAGACCATTGTGTCCACCAACCAGTATACTCACCATCGCTATCGTGACCGTGTGGCCCTCACAGACTTTCCACAGAGAGGCTTGTTTGTGGTGAGGCTGTCCCAACTGTCCCCGGATGACATCGGATGCTACCTCTGCGGCATTGGAAGTGAAAACAACATGCTGTTCTTAAGCATGAATCTGACCATCTCTGCAGGTATGAGCTGACGGCTGATGGGCCAAGCTTGGTGAAGCACGTTCTAGGAAGGAGAAAGTGGGAGAGAAGCCTCAGAGACCCAGAAGGGCTTGAAACATTAGGGAAGTGACAATGAAAAGCTGGGGCAAGGCAAAGACTTTAAGAAGTAGGCTTTCATTTCAGAAGAAGGCTGCCTTCAAAAAAAAGGAAGATTTTAGGAAAAACTTCCCCAGTGAATGCATGTACACTCTCCCACCTGTGTCCCCCAAATGTCATGAAATATATATTTGGAGACGGCTCCAAGAATGGGATGACGTGGCTTCTTAGGATCCTGATAGCTGCATGTTCAGACATGCAGAGAAGCGGCAGCACTGCAGAGGAGGTGTGACAGGCAGGACAGAAGAATTGCAACTGGGCTGTCCTTCACACAGACTCTTGCTGAGTCCCTCAGCCAACATCTGACAGCTCCCAGGCCTAGGCCCTCTGCAGCAGGTTCTGTTTGTTGATCCCAAGTCAGGCACCCAGAGCATAGGAAGGGCCTCCAGGCTGTGAAAGGCCACTTGGCAGAGGAGACAGCATGACAGGAGGCAGCCTGAAAGCAGGTTAGTTCTATTAGATGCTGCTCTCCAGCCGCCTGCTGCAACGGGCTGCTCTGCTAGAAGTGGAGTGTTTCTTTTACCTTTTTTGAAGAACAATACCTGCTGGGCGGTGGGCCTCTGGAGAAAACAGCTTGGGAATTCAAGACAGCTGGATAGAAAATATGTGGGCATGGGAGAAGGAAATAGGAGTATAACATGTCAGTGTCTGCCACAGACGAGAGAATGTTTGCCACAAACTGGAGAATGAAACATTTTCCTATTTTTTATTTTATCCAACCTATTGGTCAAAGACTGCAACTCTTAGTGAGGTTGCATTCCACTTAGCAGACATTTTAAACCTGGTGTCCTTTGCCAAATCCAGTAGGTGGCCTGCCAGCCTTCCCATGTGGCCTCCCTCTGCTGTCCACACAGGTCCCGCCAGCACCCTCCCCACAGCCACTCCAGCTGCTGGGGAGCTCACCATGAGATCCTATGGAACAGCGTCTCCAGTGGCCAACAGATGGACCCCAGGAACCACCCAGACCTTAGGACAGGGGACAGCATGGGACACAGTTGCTTCCACTCCAGGAACCAGCAAGACTACAGCTTCAGCTGAGGGAAGACGAACCCCAGGAGCAACCAGGCCAGCAGCTCCAGGGACAGGCAGCTGGGCAGAGGGTTCTGTCAAAGCACCTGCTCCGATTCCAGAGAGTCCACCTTCAAAGAGCAGAAGCATGTCCAATACAACAGAAGGTGTTTGGGAGGGCACCAGAAGCTCGGTGACAAACAGGGCTAGAGCCAGCAAGGACAGGAGGGAGATGACAACTACCAAGGCTGATAGGCCAAGGGAGGACATAGAGGGGGTCAGGATAGCTCTTGATGCAGCCAAAAAGGTCCTAGGAACCATTGGGCCACCAGCTCTGGTCTCAGAAACTTTGGCCTGGGAAATCCTCCCACAAGCAACGCCAGTTTCTAAGCAACAATCTCAGGGTTCCATTGGAGAAACAACTCCAGCTGCAGGCATGTGGACCTTGGGAACTCCAGCTGCAGATGTGTGGATCTTGGGAACTCCAGCTGCAGATGTGTGGACCAGCATGGAGGCAGCATCTGGGGAAGGAAGCGCTGCAGGGGACCTAGATGCTGCCACTGGAGACAGAGGTCCCCAAGCAACACTGAGCCAGACCCCGGCAGTAGGACCCTGGGGACCCCCTGGCAAGGAGTCCTCCGTGAAGCGGTAACCCCAGGCACCTTCTCCCGGTTGGGGGGCCCCACATCTGCCTCATCCCTGGCATGCAAGGGAGGCCCCTCTCCCTCTGCTCACTTCTCTCCCTTTGTACCCACAAGACAGTGACATACACATCGGATGCCCTCCCTCACCCAAGGGGCCTTGCTGTGAGAACGCTCCCTGAGTATTTCCATGTGGTTTTCAAGTGATATCTAAATGATAGAAAGACAATATTTAGGCTGGAACCTTCATTAGGACTTTCTGTTTTTAAAGATAAAGAATAGGCGCTCCGGAGAGAGGGGGTGATGCACTGAAGCCACAAGGAAAGGTTGTGGCAGAGCCCAGTGCTGAGGCTGGAGTCGCTTGCTCCCACCTAGTCCTCTTTCTCACTGGGAGGCATCGCAGGGCCCACACACAGATGGGTGGAAGAGGGAAAAGGATTCAGGCTTGGAAGCCTGAAGACAGAGATTCTAGCCCCAAGCTCTGACACTAACCAGCCATGGGAACCAGGGCTGCCCATTTGCTTTGGCCTCAGCTCCCCAATCTGTAAAGTAAGGATGTGGGTAAATGGTCTTTAATCTTCTGCCCAGCTCCAACCTCCTCTCCCCTGTGCTCTTTCCACCCCCACTGTAGTACTTTTCCAGAAGATGAAAGCAGCTCTCGGACCCTGGCTCCTGTCTCTACCATGCTGGCCCTGTTTATGCTTATGGCTCTGGTTCTATTGCAAAGGAAGCTCTGGAGAAGGAGGACCTGTGAGTTGAGTAGCCCCAAGGCTAGATAGAAGAGTTCTGGTTCCCACCTGACACCCTCAGGGCTGGGTAGGGGTAGAGTCCTGCCAGGACTTTTCAATGTAGAAGAGCTAAATTCTAGGCTGAGCCATTTAACCACTCTTGGCCTTGGTTTCTTTTCTTTCTTTCTTTTTTTCTTTCTTTTCTTTTCTTTTTTTTTTTTTTTTAGACAGACTCTTGCTCTGTCATCCAGGCTGGAGTGCAATGGTGTGATCTTGGCTCACTACAACTTCCGCCTCCCAGATTCAAGCAATTCTCCTGCCTCAGCCTCCCAAGTAGCTAGGACTACAGGCATTTACCATCATGCCTGGCTAATTTTTGTATTTTTAGTAGAGATGGGGTTTCACTGTGTTGGCCAGAATGGTGTTGAACTCTTGACATCAAGTGATCCTTGGCCTCCCAAATTGCTGGGATTATAGGCGTGAGCCACTCTGCCCAAACTGCCTTGGTTTTTAATCAATAAAATTAGAAATTATCTCTGTACTTACGTGTCAATGGCATCCCAGAGCACAAGGAGAAGCTCCTGGAAGATTACAAAGGCTGTGATGCCTATGTTAACCATAAGCCTCATAAGCAACCCTCACAGCAGAGAGCAGGAGTGCAGGGCCCAGACCTGGGATCAAACCTCGCATTTTCCCCCTTTGGCAAAGCCCAGCTAAAATTCTCTGAGAGCAACATGCCCAGGTTTAAGTACTCTTAAAGTGAGGGCTCTGTGATATGTACACCTAGTGAAGAAAGGGTGAGATTTTCTGGCAGCAAGTGGAGGAGGCTAAGGTTCTCAGACCCAGGCCCCGAAGTCCAAGCCCTATCATGGGCTAGGCTGGCTTAGCCTAGCCAACTAGGGCTCCATTGCTTCTGTGTCAGAAAGTTCTTGAAAACTTGCAGTGGTTGGGAGTGGTTCTTAGGAAATCAAAGTCAGTGCTGTCCTTACCCAGAACCCTCACAGTCTGCTCTGTGTCTCTGCAGCTCAGGAGGCAGAAAGGGTCACCTTAATTCAGATGACACATTTTCTGGAAGTGAACCCCCAAGCAGACCAGCTGCCCCATGTGGAAAGAAAGATGCTCCAGGATGACTCTCTTCCTGCTGGGGCCAGCCTGACTGCCCCAGAGAGAAATCCAGGACCCTGAGGGACAGAGAGATGAACTGCTCAGTTACCATGGGAGAAGGACCAAGATCAAAGGCCTTCAGGACCCCAGCCTCTTTCCATCATCCTTCCTCCACCTGTGGGAAGAGAAGCTGATGCAGCCGGTGCTCCACCCATGGAAGAAAGGCTGGCTGTCCTTGGGCCCAAGAAAGTCAAGCATTATCCACGTCCAAAGGTGACAAGATGACTCAAAGGAGACTTCAAGAACAGTGTATGAAACACTGGAAGAGGTCACCTAGGAAAAGCATGAAATTTCCATTCCTGAATGTTTGAAAATAGAAGAGGCTTCCAATCAGTGTGGAAAGTGACAAATCCCCTATCAACACTCCCAGCCCTTGCTGGGGGCTCCTTTTCTGACTACTGTTAGCACTCAGCCTCCCATTCACATGTATTATATTTAAGTGTACCAGCCTTGCCTTCTCAAGTAGATTCTAAGCTCCTTTAAGGCAGTAATTGCATTTTATCTGTCTCATGATGCCCCCAGAGAACTTCCAACTCAGTAGGACCCCAATAAATACCTGTGTCTGATTGACTTGGGGGCTCAGTGGCCTCTAGGCACCCTTCCTCTGCAAGAACTCTGGGTCCCCCTGGGCTTCTGCCCCTCCTTTTGGGAGTCCCCTAGATGACCCCACAGGCAGCTGGTTTCTCCGCTGAGATCAAAAGGGCAAACACCCATTCCTCACATCATCCCGCCCCATTTGGACCCAGGCTTATTGTGCCGTAGACCTTTTGACCCGGCCAAGATTTTCTGGGATTTTCCTACATTCATGGAGGAGCAGGGTATTTTCAGTAGATTCTTGCTTTCTTCATAAAGGCCCTCTTGTTCAGCTGCTTATAAATCCTCGATATGGAGGACTGTTGGTGAAGCTGGAAAATGGTTTTTGGGGGTGAGGTGGGAGACAAAAGAGAGGAATTTTATGTGGATTCTGCCCTGTAACTACATCACCTCATGCTTGTCAGGGAACTTTCGCTCCACCCTAGGCCCCACTGCCTTTCCAGGAATCACATCCACTATTTTCTTTTGCCAGATCCGCTGGCAAACTGTCTGGGCTCCATTGTTGGATGGAACAGCCTGAGCGGTGGAGGCAGAAAGGAAAAATAGGCACCAATATCGAGTTGAGAATTGCCAGGTAGACATTTCCAGAAGGCTTAGTCCTGCCTTCTAAGCTGTCAGCAGCACAGAAATCCTTCAGTAATACCCCCTTATATCTGGTTCTGAACACAGACACTGTACAAAGAAAATCAAGGAGATGCCGGTTTTATGGCTTATAAGAGAAACCTGTTGTTTTGGATAAGTAGGAAAATTGCACACATCTAACCACATGGAATCGCAGAATTTCAGAGCTAACAGATCTTTAGAGATTAGTCTAATATCCTCATTCTAGAAGAGAGGGACTTGAGGCCCAACAGGGTTAAGGGTACAGGTGGGGGGCGCTTGTTTAAAGTCACCCAGTTAACCCAGTTAGTTATAGCACTGTGAGGACTAGCAAAGAGAACTCGTGACCTTGGTTCAGGGCCTTTTTCACTTCACCATTGCTGAGCATTGTACCAAAGCAAAACTCACTGTCAAAAATCAAGGATACCACAGTCGTCCCTCGAGACTATTTTCCTGTTCGCTTTCTCAATGACCTGCCCCAAATAATCCTGTAACGGAGATAGGACAGACATCATGGATCCTATTCAACCAATGAGGGAGCAGGCTCTGCAAGGTGTGTACTTCAGCAAAGGCCACTCGGAGCAGCCCACCTCCACAGCTATGTTCTGGATCGCCGTGCCCCTTGCTTGGATTTATGATCTAGGTATCTGGTCAGGTCCTTTCCTGTGTAAAGCTCTAAAGGCTCACTTCTTTCTCTCTCTCTCTCTTAGGCTTGTGCATGGAAGGTTTCATGATCATTCCCAGGAATTGGTTCTCATTTGTGGCAGGGATGGGCCCAGCACCCAGACTGTTTCTAATGCTAGATTCTCAGGATGTGAAAAGGTGTTCTGAGGAAAAGGAGGTTTGGTAGATTAATGAAGTTTTGGAAATGCTGGGAAACCACAAACATTCTTCTATGCAGGATCTTTTGGAGCCTTTGCTATATGGAGGTGTATTGTGAAACACCCTGGGTTTTCACACCTCGGGATGGGGACATAATGTGTGTTTCCCAGATGTGTTGGATTATTGTGTTTGATTGAAGCAGTCCCAAGGGGCTGGAGTTCCTCACATCACTGTTTGGGGAAGCCTGATGCACTAAACCCGGGGTTGGCCAACTCTTCAGTAAAGGGCCACATGGTAAACATTTTAGGCTTTGCAGGCCATACAGTCTCTATGGCAACTACTCAGTTCTGCCGTTGCAGCACAAAAGCAGCCAGGCAATCGAGAAACAAATGACCGCAGCTGTGTTCCAACAAAACTTTATTTCCCAAAACAGGAGGGAGGCTGGATTTGGCCCTTGAGCCAGAATCTGCCAGTCCCTGGACTAAGCCATGAAATTGTACAGGACTCTTTTGTTCCCACTCGGATCTGGAGATCAGATCCTATTCTTCCTCAAGGGCTTCCCTGACCACCTTTCTCCAGGACCTCTCCTTCCTCCAAACGGCTCTAATACTTTCATTGTGGAATTCAGCAGCTAGAATGTTCTGTCTGACTACCCCATCTTGGGGGAAGAAGGGGAGGGAGGAGACAACCAGCCCAGCAAGAGTGTTGGCCACGTGGCTAGAGCCAGGAGCGTTTCTAGCAGGGAGGCCGTTATAGGGAAAGTTAAGCTCCACCAGAGGTGGAGCTGGTAAGAGTTCAAAAGGCCAGGGCAGGGCCAGATTAGAGTCCCAGGGCCAAGAGTTTGGAGGGGGCAGAGATAAGATCTGAGTAAGAACTTTCAGGGAGAGAAGCGGGGAAGCCCCAAGTGTTCACAGCTCTCCTTTATGGGCTAACTGATCCATGGAGTAGTCAGGAGGGTTGATTTAAAGGGCCAGAGGCCAAACTGGCAGAGGAGGCCACCTCCACCACTTGGTATTGTCAGTGCTGTTGTTTTTCATCTTATACCTCCGGCTAGCATGATGCCTATACCACTGAGATGAGGGGCAGGCAAACATCTATCCCTAGGCCAGAATCAGGGAAGCCTCCCTGGGGATTTCTAACTTAGGATTAGAATCTAATCGAGGATGCAGGGAGACCATTGATTTTCACAAGATCAAGCAGATTCTCAGGTTCGGGTGCATTTCTGCAGTTCACTTTACACTGTTACTTACTAACGCTGCTACTGCTTGTTAACGTGTTTCTGCACAGCAGGCACTATCCTAGGTGTTTTCACATTGTGTATCACAGTTACGGTAACATTTCTGTAAGGTAGGTGTGATCATTCCCATTTCATAGATGGGAAATCTGAGGACCAGAGAAGTTAAGTTACACTACTCAGGAAAGGGCACACTGGGACTTCATGCAAAGCACCTCACCTCCACAGCTGCATTCTCGATCTTTGTGTCCCCTGCCTTCCCCCTTGCTTGGATGTATAGTCTGAGTATCTGGTCAGGTCCCTTCCTGTGTAAAGCTCTAAAGGTTTGCTTCTTTCTTTCTTTCTCTCTCTCTCTCTCTCTCTCTCCCTCTCTCTGTCTTTCTCTCTCTCTTTTTCTTAGGCTCGTGCATGGAAGGTTTCATAATCATTTCCAGGAATTGGTTCTCTTTAGTCACCTAACTAGTTTATTACAACCCTGGCCTAATGAGGCATTAAAAAAAAAAGTTCAGAGAGCCGGAACTAGAGCTAAAAATTCAGGCACCAGCCCTGAGGTCCTTGCTGACATATGTATAAAAGGAGCTCAGATCTTTATTTGTGGGGATGTCCATCTGTCTCAGCTTACTCGGGGCAAATGCATGACTCTAAGCCAACTTTTGAGAGCTCTCTGCTAATACGTTGGAGGTTTCTTCCTCTCCTCCAATAGCCCACTGTGGTCTGAGACATAAAAAATCAGTTTAATAACAGCCTCAGTCAGGCCCTAGGGGAAGATACCTCCACAGAGAGACCCATAACGCACTGCAGCCAAGTAGACACAGGTTATTTGATTGTGCTCACCTGGTACAGATATCCCAGAGCTGAAAGCATGACTAATGTGGAATGGAGAATGGAGATTCTACTCAGAAAGAAACAAACCCTGCATTCAGGGTCCAGCACCACCAAGCTCTTCATTTTTCATACAGTGACACAGCTTGGTTTACAGGTGCTGGCCTTCCCGGGCCAGCCTGCTCCCTTCACTGTCAGCAGTATGATGAGCTGTCATCCTACTGCCTACTCTCTAAGGGGCCAGCTGAAACCCATGTGGGCAGCAGAGAAGCGGCAGCCTTAGGAGAGAACCCCATGCTGCACCTCTACAGGCATGTGGTGATCACCAGTGCCAATGCCCCTGGCCTGCAGACCACTGTTTGCCTCCTGGATGCATTGCATCAAAGACATTGATTGAAGCCAGGCACCGTGGCTCATGCCTGTAAACCCAGCACTGTGGGAGCGTGAGGCAGGAGGATCACTTGATGCCAGGCGCTTGAGACCAGCCTGGGCAACATAGTGAGACCTCATCTCTACAAACAACAACAACAAAAAGACACACATTTACTGAGTAGGATCTGAACTCTTCTATGTTCTGCCTCTGCCACCTCTGGCCTTGTTCCCACTGCTCACTTACTTGCTACCTCTATCCAGATCTACCAGTTCTGCTGTGAGCATAGAGGGTCAAACAAAGGCTACTTCTTTCCCTGAGTGGCAAACTTCTGGCTTCCTAACCTTGAGTACTTTAGAGAAGAGGAAGAAAGCTAGGACTACTGTGTCCAAAGGTGTTTTCAGAATGCTCTAATTTGTCTGAAGATACTGTGTTTCATTTCAGACAAGAGTTCAAGAAAAAGAATTCAGACTGTGGCTTCTTTAGGGCCTGGCATGGGAAGATCAGACTGATTAGCAAATGCAACTAATCTAAACATTTTATGGGGCCAGCACTTTCCTTCCCTACCTCTGCCAGTGGAGTACAGACAACTACAAATTAATTACAATATACATCACCAAAAAGAAACATACTCCCATTCTAGAGATGGGAACATTGAGGCTCAGATGAACACAGGCTGCAGGGGATTACAGGGGCTATTTTTCCAATCGCTGCCTGTCAGGCAAGCCTTGGGCCGAGAGCCAGGCTCAGACCAGGAACAAGGAAACAGCAAGTCTTCAGCAGGACCCCAGTGGCTTATGAGAGGGGCTGGGCCCAGTCACCTGACACTCCACCTATTGACTTTGGATGTCTACTCCAAAAATCTTCCTCCTTCCGCTTCTCCCTAGCCAGGGTGTGGAGGTAACAGCACATAGGACAATGGTTGGGTAACCTCAAAAAAGGTTTGCTCATATGTCCCTGCCTCTCAGAAACAGAGAATCAAAGCTCTTTGGAGTGTAGAGACTAGACCCAAAGAAGAATTGAGAGAGCTTTTGGACCATGGCTGACTTTCCATTTCCAGGGCCTTTTTCTTTCTTTTTTTTTTTTTAAATATTTTTTTTATTTATTTATTTTTGAGACAGACTCTCGCTCCCTCGTCCAGGCTGGAGTGCAGTGGCACAATCTTGGCTCACTGTAACCTCCACCTCCAGGGTTCAAGCAGTCCTCCTACCTCAGCCACCTGAGTAGCTGGGATTACAGGAGCACGCCAGCATGCGCGGTTAACTTTTGTATTTTTAGTAGAGTATTTTTCACAATGTTGGCCAGGCTGGTCTCGAACTCCTGGCCTCAAGTGATCGCCTCACTTGGCCTCCTGAAGTGCTGGGATTACAGGTGTGGGCCACCACACCCAGCCTCCAGGGCCTTTTATGTTCCACTTCACTCCCCGCTCCCCACGGCAGGCTCCTCAGGGCTGGACACAGGCAATCTCAGGGGGCTCTTACCACAGTTTCTACCTTCACTCTTTCACCAGCCAAAATGAGAAAGGGTAGCAACAACCTCCCCACTCTGGGAGCCCCAGAAGAAATGTTGTTTTCACTTTCTGACTGAGAGGCAGCTGAGCTAGGAAAACAGTGAAGAATGGGACATCAGGGCAGTGACACAGGGAGGCAGGTGGTCAAGGAGAAGGCAGGGCCTCAGTGTGTTCATAGAGGAAAGTGAAAAGATTTGAGCATTGCATGCACACGTTTGGCCAGTGAGTCACCTCTCCAACACCAACTGAAGACTAGAGCTGCTAATCTGACAGCGGCCTTCCTTCCCTCTTCACGTCCCTGCACGCTACCACCCAGCTTGCCATCCTTTGACTTCCCTGATTAATGTTGTTCTTAGAGTTGACACAATGCTGCCCATTTGTACATGCCATATGCCCTGAGCTCTTTAGGAAGGACTCTAGGAAGCCCCTAGAGAATCACCAATAGTCAGGGTCTTTCTAATGAACTCTTCCCTCTCCCACCTGCCCCTTAATAGGGAGACTCACCTGGGAAAAGGTTTAGGCCTTTGAACATAAATCTGGGCTCAGAAACTCCCAGAAAACATGCCTAAATGCAGCCAACCGGAACATTCAAGTTCCAGCTCCCCTAGTGGGATTCCAAGTAGTGGCTTCACAAGGAAGCATGTTGCCAGCCAGCAGCATTGCCAGCTGGGTAACAAGGGCAGTGGTCCCCACCCAATGCTCTTCTCCCCCAGCCCAAAAGGAAGAACTGAAACAGGAAGAATAAACGCTGTGCTCCTACCACTGAGTGACAGCTAGGGTCAGCAAACGCCATACCACTATCTGCTAATGGGAACAGGTAGCATGAATAATTCCAAACAGCCAGTATCCTCTAAAAAGGGGGGGAGAGTTTATTTAGCTTTGGCAAATTCAGTCACAATTTTATTCTTCAGTGGTTGATTCTAAAATGACTCTGTATTTTAGGCTAGATGAGGAATGCTGGATTGCAGGGCTGGCTGGCCTGGGATTAAACATTGACTCCAGTCAGGGGTTAAACATTGACTCAGGTGAAGATCTGTACATAGGAGCAGAGAGTTGGCAGTAAAGAGCATTTCCTCTGTCCCTCTTATCTCATTTTTATGGCAAAAGCCACACTCAAAGGAACCATCCATGTGGAGGGATGCCCGCTGAGCAGTGGAGAGTGAAGAAGGGCTATCTAGCTTCCCTTTCTCTGTTGGTGATTGTGTCAACCCATGGTTGTGGAGCATCAAGCTAAAGACAGCCTGAAGGGTTGGATTTGTGTGAGCCTGTGGGCTTGGTCATCTGCAATATTCTCTGGCTAAACCAAGGGTGTAAACGGACGTCCCTTGCTGTCTGTAGAAATATCATCCAAAAAATTCATCCTGACAGCAAAAGTTTTGGGAAGTGGAGGAAAATGCTTTCTAGAAAACCTTGGTTCTAGACCCATCTGTGTGATGACCTCCTGTGCAAACTGGAGCAAGTCATTTCACTTTTCTGTTCTTGGTCCTTCATCATTCAGTGGAGAATCACTCTAGTTACGCCATCATGTTCTGGTACATGCTCCTAGTAGTCTCCAAAACTGTCTTAGCAGACAGTGCCAGACACGTATGCATGTACACACACACACTTGCCTTTTGCTGTCCCGTTTATTTGCTGCTGAATCATAAGCGCCTATTAGATGCTAGTCACTGAACATATTATAGCTAATCTTTTTTTAGATTTTTATTTTGGGGAGATAGGGTCTTGTTCTGTCACCCAGGCCAGAGTGCAATGGTGCAATCATAGCTCATTTCAGACTGCAACTCCTGGATTCAAGCAATCCTCCCACCTCAGCCTCCCAAGTAGCTGGGACTACAGGGGTGTGCCACCACCCTGGCTAATTTTTTTGTTTTTGTAGAGACTGGGTCTTGCTATGTGGCCCAGGCTAGTCTCCAACTCCTGACCCCAAGTGATCCTCCCACCTTGGCCTCCCAAAGTGCTGGGACTAGAGGTGTGAACCACTGAACCTGGCCTATACTTAATCTTTATAACATACCTATACAGTAAGTATAATTTTCCCCAGAGACATTAAATAATTTGTTCAAGGTTCCCTGGCTGGCAGGTGGTAAGGCTTGGATGTGAACCCAGGGCGTCGAGGTCCAGAGCCCCTGCTCTTTTCCCAAGGCTACACAGGCTCTCTATGCTTGCTACCTCCTGGCTTGTGTTGTTCCTTGACAGTATTGCATGTGAGTGATGACTTCTCAATTGGACTACTTGCCCTTGTGGAACAGGGGTGCACTCTCCTGCATGTCTCAAATCTCCCTGGACCTTGAGCTTGTCATGGTTGGTAGGCCGAGAAATAACCACCATCCCTCTTCCCCAAGGTTTGTCTATGTCTCAATCTCTGGAGCCCAGAAGTGTGACCTTATTTGGAAAAGAGTCTTTGTAGATGTGATGAAGTTCAGGATCTTGAGATGAGGACATCATCTTGGATTAGCTGGGTGGGCCCTAAATACCATCCATATAACAGAGAAACAGAGAGTTATTTGAGACATACACAGAAGCCAATGTGACTATGAAGGCAGAGGTTGGAGTGACACAGCTACGTGCCAAAGAACACCAAAGAATGTCAGCAGCAACCAGAAGCTAGAAGAGGCAAGCAACGGATTATCGTCTAGAGCCTGGAGGGTGGCCCTGCTGGCACCTTGATTTCAGGCTTCTGGTCTCCAGAACAGAAAGAGCATACATTTCTGTTTTCTTAAGCCACTAAAGTTGTGTTAATTTGTTATAGCAGCTGTCAGAAACTAATACGGTGCTCAACCAAAACACAGAATCCTAGAACTGAAAGAGCCTTGGGAACAATTTGGCACTGTCCTCTGATGGAACAAACAATCCTGCAGACCTACAGGATGAAGTGATCTGGCAAAGGTCACTCGGCAATTAGAGGCAGAATCAGGAACAAAACAAAGGTGTTCCACAGTGACTTATGCTGAGTCCCAGAGTCAGGAAAGTCCAGTGAGAAGCTGTTCTTCTGCTGGTATATTTTCTTGTATGATTACTTTAAAAGAAGCAGGGAGGGTTGAGCAGATGAAGTGTTGTAAGTTTGGAAAGTATAATCACTGCTGTTATCATCATTATTATTGATTTGGGCAATGGACTCTCTTGGCCTGTCCCTCCTCCCCCAGGGCTGAGAAATAGTACTATTTTAGGGCCACTGGGTTCCAGATGGGGAAACCACAGTGCGAGAGGGGAAGCAAGTGAGTCCAATCACACCACCGGCGTGTGGCTGAGCCCAGAATAGGACGTAGGATTTTTGACTCCCTGCCTCTTCCCAGGGCTCTACTTCTCATTTTCCCCTTTCTGTAAACTGGATCAGTAGGATCAGTGGGCTCCAGGTATGTGGGGTGTGTGTGTGTGTATGTGTATGTGTGTGTGTCTGACATGGGTCAGCTAAGACAGTTTTGGAGACTATTGAAAACATGCAGCAGGACATGATCTAGTAAATTACCCACCATCATGAAATAGCAAAGCAGGGAAGGAAATCTGCAACCTGTCCTCCACGCCCACCAAGGCAGCATGAGAAGAAATGATTTAATGAGTGTTCTCCCCTTCCTCCCTGCAAGCCTTTGCTCGTCAAATTTCTGCACTAGTGTTCTGTGAACCTGCCTTGACTTCTACTCCAGCCTGGACAACTGGACACAACTTATTTCTTGCTTTGGGAAGGAAGAAACAAACCCTACAAATATTTTGACTATTGAGTTCAAATGGAGAGAGGTATAAATCGGGAATCCTTTGAAAGGAGCTATAATCTGACAGAACCAGGCTTGTCTCATCTCTGCACCTGCATATCTTGTCTCCCCTCGCATCCTCCTGCTAGACATTAACCCCAGAACTGGGGAGGAGAAAGACTGCTGAAGAGTAAAAAGGAGAGCTTAGTTACTGATGTGTCTTGGTGCCCTCCCACCCACCACCATGGGGCAGAGTCCAGGCTACAGTAGGGGAGAGGGGATTAACAATGATAGAGATATCCAGGTGGGCTTGAAAACTCCAGATTGAGGGGCCCTCACCTTCGCCCATCCTGTAGAGAACTTTGGTGGTCCACAGTCTTGCTGATATCCATTGTACCCCCAATTATATGGGAACACTGGCACACAGGAGGTTACAAGAGTGTTGGGGGAAAATGTGACTCTGCTGCACAGGATCTCCCAAAGGCCTCAGGAGTCTGTGATCAGCCAAACTCACCCTGCACCCACAAGGTGGGCAAGGAGAGGCTGAGGGCCTGGAAGACCCACCCCAGGGAGCTCAGTGTATGGACTAGGAGGGCACAGTGTGGACCACAGAACCCTCAGGATGAGCAGGGACAAAGCCCACTGACCAAGCAGGGGAAGTCACATCTCAGTAGACAAAACTATTTCCTTCTGGAGCCCAAGGCCAGCACAGCATCGTGACAAAGCAAGACCAAAATAATAATGGGCCACCCCTTTTCACTGCCTCAGCAGTAACATTGACCACCCCCTCACCCAAGACCGCTCTCTCCAGACTGGACCCCAGGGGAGAGAAGGGAGACAAAAAGGAAGGGAACTCCATAATGAGGCTAAATTTTAAATCTGGAGTGAAGTGACTGAGAGATCACTGAATTGGGCTGAGCTTGCCTAGAAGTGACTAGGTAACTTGTTTTCTTTTATCAGTCAGATTATGGGTTTAGGGTTTGAAATTAAGCTACATCTGGAAGCCATCATCCTCATCAAACTAACACAGGAACAGAAAACCAAACACCACATGTTCTCACTCATAAATGGGAGCTGAACAATGAGAACACACGGACACAGGGAGGGGAACATTACACATCCGGGCCTGTTGGGGGGGGTGGGGGGAGGGAGAGCATTAGAACTAATAGCTAATGCATGTGGGGCTTAATACCTAGGTGGTGGGTTGACGGGTGCAGGAAACCATCATGGCACACGTTTACCTGTGTCACAAACCTGCACGTTCTGCACATGTAATCCTGGAACCTAAAACAAAATAAAAAAAGAAAATCTAAGTTTGCAAACCACAAAAAAAGAGAGAAATTAAGCTACATAAAGAAATTATGGGGTTTTTTTGCTTGCCATTGAAATCTGTGATTGTGTGTTAACACCCACAAGTGAGCCAGTGGTTAGCTAAAATAAGACCCAGGGCTCTGGCTGCCTTGTGTTTCTCCAGGGCTCTATTTCTCTATTTTTCCTTCCCCTTCTGGTGTTTGGCCTATAGGACTCTGTAGGGAGAGCCTGGGTCAGCCCTGCACAGGTAGGATGGGCAGCATTTCTGTGGGGGTTTGCAGTGAGGGGTCGGGGGGCCATACACGTGTGTGTTGGGGAGTGGGCTTCACTTTTGTCACAGGACTGCCACGATCATTTGGGGAACACCTGGGAGTCCCAACCAGGTCATGTTTTGGCATGGACTAACAGATAGGGAAGGAGGTGCTACTTCAGCTCAGCAGGTCAGCACCGTCCTTGCTATGGAGCCGAGCCCGGGTCCTAACAAGACTCTGAGGTCAGCCATGTTCAGGGGAGCCCAGAAGCAGCGAGTCTTTCATGACTCTGGGGAGTGAAACAGGAAGGGCCACAGTCCTGCCAGTTCCTGGAGCTCTGGGACTGGTAAAAGGGGCTTGGCAGGAGGTGTATAAGGGGCATTTTTGTCCAGGCTAAGTAACCTAGGGAGTCGGAGGGGATTCCAGAGCAACTGGGGATATGAGACCAAGGACTACGACAGCCACTCCTGCCACCTGTGCCCCATCAGATGATGTCAACTTCAAATCAAGCATTGGGCCAGGTATTTTAGAGCTAATACCGGGCTATATCCTCTACCTGTAGATTTGGTATTACCATCCCTCTTTTCCAGATGAAAAGAAATAGGAAGGTGACTTGCCAAAGGTCTTGCAGCTAGAAAGCGACAGAACAGCATCTTCACGCTTGACATTCTGTCCCTCATCCTGAAGCTGCAACGATGGAGGATTCCCAAGTAACAGAGTCTCCCCAAGGTCAAAGGAAACCAAATGGAGCCAGCCAGGAAGGCCAAAATGAAAGGAAAGCAAGGGATCTGTGAGAGTCACATGACCCTGGCTGGCCACGGTGCCTGTGGGAGAGTGGCCCTTTAAGAGCCCAGGTGTGGGTCAAACACTGAGCAGAGTTTCAGTTTTGGCAGCAGCGTCCAGTGCCCTGCCAGTAGCTCCTAGAGAGGCAGGGGTTACCAACTGGCCAGCAGGCTGTGTCCCTGAAGTCAGATCAACGGGAGAGAAGGAAGTGGCTAAAAGTAAGTGTTACTGCTCTGGGATCCCCAGACGGGATGCTATCTGGAAAGGGCTCGGGACGATGGCTCAGGTAACCCCCTCCATTCCCAACTCCCAGTCTCCTAGATAGTGGGGTGACAAGGACAAGGAGGCAGACTGTGTGACTGTGTGTGGCTGGGGAGTAAGCGTGCATATCGCAGTGGGACGAGTAGGGATGCACGTGTGTGGAAGCCCCCCATCCTTTTCTGAGAAATATCAGCAGGTGGGAAGGGACCTCTGTGGTCAGCATATGTAATTCTACTCTTTCAGCTTGGTCTGTGCCTGGATTTCCTAACTCCTCATAGTTGATTAACTGTGTGGCCTTAGACAAGCCACCTAACCTCTCTGATCCTCAGTTTCTTAATCTGTAAAACAAAGATAGAAATAACACCTATCATTCAGGGTCAATGTGGGTTCAAATGAGAAAACACAGGTGAAATAGCTTTGTAACCTCTAGAATGAAATAGGAATTGTTTCATATTTTTCAGTTTAGTTTAATTAATCAAGGATTTATTGAACACCAACAGACCTGGAATTAGATAGTGCGCATAAAGTATGGCACCTAGCAAGTCCTCTTCCATTCTTTGAGGTTTCCCACTTGTGGCTTTCTGGCAAAGGCATGTTCAGCTCCTTTTTTCTGGGCTTCCAAGAACCTCTGAAATCCTTTGCAATTCCACCTCGCTTTGCTCTAGCAGATTCCTGCCATGGGAGACATAAATGTGTGTCATCGCATCATCCTGCCCTTCCTAGAGGTAGAAAAAAAGAGGTCCTCACGGGATCACTGAGTGAGGTGGAGCTGAGCCCCACAGGCAGCATGATCAACTCCTGCTGTTCCTCCTGGCTCTGCAGCCAGCAGATCTCAGACATGGGCTTCCCCTCCCTTTGCCCATCCTGACAGCAGCCCAAGCCAGCAGTGGGACCGTCCGGCACAAGGGCAGCAGCGGGTCAAGCTCCATCCCTGACCCCCAGTTCCCTTTGTGCAATTGCCACAGTGCCTGGGGCCATTGAAGCTGCTCCTATTTTGTGCCATCACTTTCCCCCTTCACTAGGGGAATTATAGATCCTTTAACATCTGGAGAGGAGATGCCAATTTCAGGGGTTTAGGTAGAAGGCAGCTGTCTGGTGCCTGGACATAGGTCTTCCCAGAGCCAGATCTGGAATTCTCTCTCCATCCTTGTCCCGCCCCTGGATGTGCTAAAGTAGCAGAAAGAACACTGAGCCAGGAGTCAGGAAAGCAACTCTCTCTGCTTATCTCCTAGTGCCGCTAGACCTCTGTGGCTTTAGGTGATAAAAAATGGGGTCACACAGGCTTCCATTTAGTAAACCCACTTGCCCTGGGCTTTCACACCTTCGTCTCATTCTCCCTTGATACCAACGAGGAGGTAGGCAGGGTTGGTTTTGTGATGTCATTCCCTAGTTGAGGAAACCAAGACACCGTGAGTCTATGTGAGTGGTGTGAAGTCACCAGCAAGTTTGAACGATGAGGTTTTGGTACAGCCATTTTGATATGGTCATGAGGACATTTTGATGTCACCTAAAAAGCAAACTATCCAACTTAAAAAAAAATACCTATGCATTGTGCTCAGCAGAGACCTTCATCTATGTCTTGCCCTCTCTCTGGAGGGGCTGGGGCTGGAGTCCCAATGTCACTGGCATCGACACAGTATGGTGGAGTGGAAAGAGGCTTTGGCGTCAACATGCCTGGTTATACCCATGGTTATGTAACATATCCTACACATGGTAGGTGCTAAATAAATAGCAGCTAATATTTTCCAGGAAGAAATTTCTCTGTTGGCACCTACCTCTGGGTCCAGGTGTCTCTTCATTTTTTAATTTTTTATTTTTTTGAGATGGAATCTTGCCCTGTCACCCAGGCTGGAATGCAGTGGCGTGATCTTGGCTTACTGCAACCTCCACCTCCTGGGTTCCAGCGATTCTCCTACCTCAGCCTCCTGAGTAGCTGGGATTACAGACCCATGCCACCACACCCAGCTAACTTTTGCACTTTTAGTACAGATGGGGTTTTACCATGTTGGCCAGGCTGGTCTTGAACTCCTGACCTCATGATCCACCCACCTCAGCCTCCCAAGGTGCTGGGATTACAGGCGTGAGCCACTACGCCCGGCCCCAGGTGTCTCCTTATAAGAACTGCCTTTTCCGTGAAAGGCAGAGAGGAAAGAACTGAACAAATTCTCAGTTCGCTAAGATTGAATATCCTGCTTCTTCCTCTCTCCACTGCTTCCTCTCAATAGGAAGACCCTCTGAGGTAAAGCAGAGTGGCTAAGGGCCTATGCTCTTGATCTAGAATCCCATCTAAGTCACTTACCAACTGTGCAACCTTGGGCAAATGTCTCACCTCTCTGTGCCTCAATTATCTCACTCATGAAATGGGGTTGCCCATTTTGTCCCATCTCCTATGGTGGCTGTAAAAATGGAACACATTAACACATGTAAAGCACCTGGAAAGGACTCAGCGTACGTTCTTCTAGCCTAGCCCATAGTGCTTGTCTCCTCTCTTATCCACATGAGTCCAACCTAAGTAGCTCACTCTCCATCTCTCTATCTTCAAAGGATGTCCAGCAAGCAGACTTCTACTCTCATACCAAGTCCAGGGGACCTTTCTTCCTCTGAAAAAGAGGGAAACCTGAGATTAGATGGACAAAGGTTTGGACTCCACACCATGAGAGATGAAGTGCAGTCACTTTAACTGAACAGGAGCTAGTTAAATACATTTTATAAAAAGAAAAACTATCCTTCAGCACAGCTTACACTCCTGCCCCAATCCACAATTGTGGGGACATATGTTACACATATGTTGGGATACTAACTTAGTAAACTGAAAATGATCTAGCACATCCTAGCCTCAGCAGTGAAAAAACAACTGCTAGTTTAAGGACCAGAAAACGTGCCCTCATGCATGATATAATATCATATATATAAAACCCAATAAAGCAGGTCCCTTTGCTCATTTAAAGAGTGATAATGGGGTAGTGACCTCAAATTAGGATTCTGCTGTGGGTCTTGGGGTCGAGAATCCCTATAACCCTTAGATTTCCAACCTGTGTCATGAGGATAACAACATCTATCTCTTGGGTTGTTGTGCTGATGGATGAAGTCTTACAAGAAAAGAACCTAGCAAAGCATTTGGCACGTAGCAGGTGCCCAACATTATGTTCTTTTTCTTCCTTCCTTAAGCAAATCCTTTAAATCCAGCCCCAGCCACCCTGGGCTGGGGAGGTCTCCCGAGATTTGAATCCCCAGGTTTGGAAGAAAGTCTCTGGTTTTGAGAGGAAGGGGTCTGTAATGATTCTGAAAGCTCGAGGTCCTTTCAAATGCTACTAGAGAAATTGTGCTTCAAGTTTTAGCTTTGGGCAAAGAAGAGCTCCTGTTCCTGAAAGCAGGGGTATCCTCTCCTGCCAATCATCCCATCTAGGACTGGACTGTGTGCATCCCGCTGATGTTGCCATCTGCCCGACCTGCCTGTGCATGCCTGATGCTCTCATCCCTGGCTTGAGACCATGCAGAGGGTAATGGGTGCACACACATGTCCCCTCTCTACACAAACATGCACAGCCACCCAAACATGTCACAAAATGAGAAGTCTGGGACAGAGGTCAGGGTGGTCTTCACCTTGGAGAAGCTGGCATCTGACTCTCTGCAACCCAGGCCAAGTCCAGAGGAGGGCTGCATCCCCCAGCTCAGCTTGTGGGAAGACCACTCCTGTCTCACGCAAATATGAGGCAGCTTGCTTATCTAGAGGTGAGGACAGGAACAAGAAGCAAGGACAGCTGCTGCTGGTGTGGGTTCTTAAAAGCAGGCAGCATTTTGTCCTCCCACCTGTGACTGCACCCACCCTGTGCCAGCACAAGTAGAAAATGGTAGATCTCCCAGGACTTTGCAGCCAGCCCATCCCAACTGTTTCTGAGACTTCCTGGCCTCCTGAAAGCTGCTCCCACCTGGGAGCATCTCCCATGGCAGCTTGCAGTGCCCACGCAGGTGATGACATCCCAGCTAGTGTCCCCTGATTGCTTCCATGTTGGAGCTGACTGGTATTTGGCCAAGGCCCCACTCCAGGCATTAATCATTGACCTGGTAAGAAAGGTCTGGGGCAATTAACCGGACTCAAGAGAGCCTCAACGTTGCCATCTGACACCCATATTTGTTCCCACTCCCTCCCTTTATTCTTCCAAAGAACTGCAGAAACAAAATACCTTTATATTCACAAGGAAATAAAAGGTTCCTTGCTGGGAAATTCCCCTGCAACAAAGAAATAACCAAGATAAACAACTCTATTGCCTTTGGCTCAAGCTGGTGAAGGGAGTCTGGGAGCAGGAGCAGGGGCCAGGGTGGTGAGGGAGGTCTGGGAGATAACGCCCAGCTTCCTCCTGCTTACAGCGTCCTTATCTTTATGGGCACTCATTACTGCCCAAACTTACGATCATTTAACACTCTCTTTGTCAAGACAACTCCAAAGTTTAAAGTCTGTCAAAGTCTGGGAAAGTGGAGACTTCTGTCTCCTCCTCTAGGCTGTAGTTGGGGTCTTGATGACAGCTGCTGTCAGGCAGACCCCTGGGACCCTCAACTCTCCTCAGCCCTGGGCTGTGTCCACGGTGGAGACAAAGTCCACACAGGCTGCTCCGTCTGAGTGGTCTCATCTTCGATTCTTCATCTTTGTCTGCCAGGCCTTACCAGGCAGGATTACAAAGACCCTAACACCTAAGCTTTTAACCCCAATTCCATAACCAAGTTGCTGGGAAAACGTAAGCCTATCATTCAGCATCTCAAGACCTCAATGTTTTATCCATAAAATGGTTGTGATTATACCCGTCTGTCTTATTTCAAGGGAACATATAAAGCTCAAATGAAATAATGTAAATGGTAGTGCTTTCATAAGCAACAGGGTCTCTACAAATAACACAAATAAGCATAAGGTAAAAGCATGCTCTTGTATTTGGGGTGCGATACAGTAGTGGAGAGGTTAAGCACATGGACTTTGCAGTCAGACAAAGGTGGGCCCAAATCTTCCCCGACCCCCATTCTGTGTACCCCCACACATTTAACCCCATGTGCCCTTGAGGAAAGTACTTAACCTTGAAGCCTTCATTTCCTCCCATGTGAATGTGGATAAGGATACTAACCTCACAGGGCTGATATCAAGTCTGTATGAGATAGTACACATAAATTATTCAACACAGTGCCTGAGACAGAATAAGGGAGCAATCAATGGGGTTAGGACCATCATCATTACATTTACAGCCTTAATAATCATGACACCTCCTCTGTGGGTCTCAGTTTCCTCATCTGAACACACTGTGAAATATGTCAGCCCGCTTCACCTCCCAGGAATGTAGGGAGGGCAGCTGAAACAGAGAGATGGGGGCCACGTATTGGTAGGAACCAATCACCCAGCAAGCCATTCCTGAGATCTTACGGTGTGCCTGGGACTGTGTCTCATGGGCAGGGAAACAGAGCAAATGACACAATATCTCTATCCCAAAGGAGCTTGCAGCTTAGTTGAGAAGACAAAAGCTACTTCTAGCTATTAAGGATATACAAGTGTTGAAGGATGATAAGACTTTGAATTGTTATGGAAAAAGTGGAGGCACTGATTCATTCAACAGGATTTATGTCAGTTGCTGGAGATACAAAGCCAAATAGATGTCACAGAAACTCTAAGGTCAACTAGTCTTGGAAGACAAGGGGCGCTTCATCTCCTTGTGATTATTGTTTTTCAGCATTGCACAGGAGAAGTCGGCCTGAGTGGTGCGGCGCTCGGGACCCACCAGCAATGCTGCTCTTCGTGCTCACCTGCCTGCTGGCGGTCTTCCCAGGTGTGTCTGCCAGGCCCCAACTCTCCAAGCTCCACCCCTTCAGCCTGCCCGACTCCAGGGTTCACCTCCCTGGGGACACTAAAATCAGACTCATCCCCAGGGATGTCCCTCTCAAAGTTGGCACTTCCTTGAGGAAGAGTCATACAGAGAAGACACTGAAAGGCCACATCTGTGAGCATTGGAAGTCAGGGACAGGAATGGCACTTCCTAATCTCAAGGCCAGGGGTCTGTGAAAGATCTTCTTTGAGAATAACAAAGACCTTAACTTCAACCAAGCATCTCTATGACCCGCTGTGAAATCTGAGGGAAGTCACTTATCCTTTCTGGCTCTCAATATTTTTATCTGGGGGAAAAAAAAGAAAAGAAAATCATCTACAAAGTGCTTTTAGAAATATAAGGAAATAACACATGGCAAGTGCAAACATGTAACACCTTACGAAAGTGGTGTTATTGTTTGAAAAAACAATGGATGGCTGGATGCTGGCTCACAGCTGTAATGCCAGCACTTTGGGAGGCCAAGGAGGGTGGATTGCTTGAGGTCAGTAGCTCAAGACCAGCCTGGCCAACATGGAGAAACCTTGTCTCTACTAAATAGAAACCAAAATTAGCTAGCATGCACCTGTAGTCCCAACTACTTGGGAGGCTGAGGCATGAGAATCGCTTGAACCTGGGAAGCGGAGGTTGCAGTGAGCCGAGATCGTGCCACTGCACACCAGCCTGGGCGACAGAGAGAGACTTTGTCTCAAAACAATAAAAATATATAAAATAAAAAACAAGGGTTATCATAAATTTGTCATTCCCTTGTCCTTGAAATGGTTATCATTAATGAATAACAATTCCAATTTAATCATGATTAAAACAGTCACTTTATTTAATCTCAGCAATTTTCCAGCTGTGATATATGATAAATTATCAACACAGGGCCTACGTGTCAGGTAGAAAACCACATCTACTCATAGTGGGTTATCTGGAACAGGCTTTACCTCCCAAGGGCCTCAGAAAGCCTCTCTCTTCTGTTCCCACAGCCATCTCCACGAAGAGTCCCATATTTGGTCCCGAGGAGGTGAATAGTGTGGAAGGTAACTCAGTGTCCATCACGTGCTACTACCCACCCACCTCTGTCAACCGGCACACCCGGAAGTACTGGTGCCGGCAGGGAGCTAGAGGTGGCTGCATAACCCTCATCTCCTCGGAGGGCTACGTCTCCAGCAAATATGCAGGCAGGGCTAACCTCACCAACTTCCCGGAGAACGGCACATTTGTGGTGAACATTGCCCAGCTGAGCCAGGATGACTCCGGGCGCTACAAGTGTGGCCTGGGCATCAATAGCCGAGGCCTGTCCTTTGATGTCAGCCTGGAGGTCAGCCAGGGTAAGGATCCAAGCTCCTTGGGCTTCTGGGGGAAAGTTAGAGGGAATTCTCTAAGGTGCATGGAGGGCTTGAGGAGGAACTTCCTGACAAGGATGTGTAGCCGGGTTGGGGGTCAGAAGGCACCCCTTTCCCCAGGCAAAGACTTCTTTAACAGGAGAAGGAGACAGATAGGGCCTACTTGGGGGTGATGAGTGAACCCTTCTAGGACTTGGTGGCCTATAACATTTTAGGCTTTCTGGAGACCCCAGCTTAGAAGGGTATCAGAAGGACAAGTTTTCTGGTGTTTGCTACAGGTAGAAAGGGAAATCTGACATCAGGCTAAGGAGATAGAAAAGGTAGGGAGAGATTTACAGGGATCCTTAAATTCCTATCATTAATGCACCTTTCCATCAAGGTTTGGGCCGCCAAAAGGCTTCTTGTAAAATGCATATTTTTTTTTTAACCTGGGAACCCTTAGTCTTTTGGTATTATCAGGGTAAATTAGATTATTAGATCTTGACCAAAGACCAAGATCCTGAAAGGATGGGTTGCTAACAAGCCTATTCTAGTTGGAGAAAGAGAAAAAAAGAAAAGCTCTTTCTGACAAGGGTTTAACAATGAGGCTGTTTTAGATAGTCAAGGGCAACTCAAAAGAGAGGTCTACGGAGAAAAGAAATTCAGGGGGACTCCCAAAGACATGTCTTGCTCCTTTGGAATATGCATACTATTGTCTGTGGACTAAATGAGGAGGTCATTTAGGTGGGGATCAAGATTCAAAACCACAGAATCTTTAGAGGTGAAGAGGGCTTAGAGTTCACCCTAACCGGACACTTAGAAGAACATGCTGATGACGGGTATGCAGCCTCTGATTAAGCACTTTAGCAGAAACTCACTGCTCCCTGAGACAGCCCATTTCACATTTAGACTCTTGTAATTTTTAGAAACTTCTATTGTATGCGTTGAAATCCATCACCCTGCATTTACATTCATTCTGTTCATTTCAGCACACATTAATTTGGCCACCTACTACCCAGAGGCATTGTGCTTGTCACAGCAGAGGGGTCAAACATGAGAAAAACATGTTCCAGCCTTCAAGGAACTTCCAGTCCATGGAGAACATAATTACCCATACACCAGATTGGATGTAATAAGTGATGCAGATGTATCAAGAAAGCACAGGGCAGGGAGAGATTAGTGTTAGCTTGGGAAAGGTTTCATGGAGAAGACCGCTGTCAAGCTGGGCCTTCCGACAGCATTCCTCTGGGAAGGAGGGCATTCCAGGTTATAAGTCCACCCACACCCTAACTAGGAATAGCAAATAGTCCTATGTTGCAAGAAAGTAGAATCGTAACTTGCCTGCCCCCTACCTTGCACCCCTCATCCTGCAGGTCCTGGGCTCCTAAATGACACTAAAGTCTACACAGTGGACCTGGGCAGAACGGTGACCATCAACTGCCCTTTCAAGACTGAGAATGCTCAAAAGAGGAAGTCCTTGTACAAGCAGATAGGCCTGTACCCTGTGCTGGTCATCGACTCCAGTGGTTATGTAAATCCCAACTATACAGGAAGAATACGCCTTGATATTCAGGGTACTGGCCAGTTACTGTTCAGCGTTGTCATCAACCAACTCAGGCTCAGCGATGCTGGGCAGTATCTCTGCCAGGCTGGGGATGATTCCAATAGTAATAAGAAGAATGCTGACCTCCAAGTGCTAAAGCCCGAGCCCGAGCTGGTTTATGAAGACCTGAGGGGCTCAGTGACCTTCCACTGTGCCCTGGGCCCTGAGGTGGCAAACGTGGCCAAATTTCTGTGCCGACAGAGCAGTGGGGAAAACTGTGACGTGGTCGTCAACACCCTGGGGAAGAGGGCCCCAGCCTTTGAGGGCAGGATCCTGCTCAACCCCCAGGACAAGGATGGCTCATTCAGTGTGGTGATCACAGGCCTGAGGAAGGAGGATGCAGGGCGCTACCTGTGTGGAGCCCATTCGGATGGTCAGCTGCAGGAAGGCTCGCCTATCCAGGCCTGGCAACTCTTCGTCAATGAGGGTAAGACCCTAGAGAGGGAGGGGGAGTAGGTGGGGCAGTCTCGCAGGTGAGAGCCAAGCTCAGCTCCCTCTGAGTGTATTCATCAATAGTCATCAATCAGCCAACAGCATCCACTCAATGACCAGCCCCGAACTGGAGGCTGCGTGGGCTGCTGCACAGGACAGCAAGAAAAAGCAACCTCTGCCTGATGGCAGCTCCTAATTACTCTTCTGTTATCAAAGTCATTTTGATGGCTGTCCCTGCTTAACAAGCAAGAGGTGAGTAAAGCTCTTGATTGAGGCAGGACTTATAGACTGTGTTTCAGGGCTGTGGCAGGCTCTGCAGGGGTCCTCTGTCCCCTCCCCTGGCCCCTGAACAAGATGGGTGCCTCATCCCTCACATTCAGATGGAAAAAGGATTGGCTTATCTTGGTCTCAATGCGTTCCCAGGAGTGCCCCAGCCTCTAAATGTTTCACTGTCACATTTCGTAGGGTTATTTGTGAATTTCAGCACCATCTGGCCCACTCAGCCCTACTCCAGTGAGCCATCAGCATGGTGAAAGAATTAAATCCCAGCTCCTTCTCATCCCAGAGCACCCTGCATAGAGTTGCCCTCGTGAGAAGCAGCAAACCAGTACTTGCAGTTCCAAGTATCTGTGCTTGTGACTTTTTTTTTTTAAAGGGGCTTATATTCTCTGCATGCCATGTCCACATCCAGCTCTGGGTTTTCACCAGAATCCCCTGCATCTTTGGTCACCTGCTTCTCTCTGGATCTCAGCTTTAGCTGCCTGGAGAATGGCTATCGTCTTTGAGATGCCCCTTGGGGCCCCAACAATTAAGCTCACCTTTGCTACATACTTTATAGTTTACATCATACCATCCTAAATATATTTTCTTGATTTGGGCATAATCCATTGGGCCACTTTTGTGGAATACACTTGTTAGTGTACTAAATAGACAAAAACCTACACAGAGGGAGACTTTGTAAGAAGCCAAAGAAGAGCTGATATCCTCTCCTTCAACTCCTTCCATTCTCTGCTCAGAATAAGATGGGGGAAAAGAACAACATGTGCAGGCTGATGGGGAGACTCCAAGCCCTTGGAGTCTGGCCCTGATGGCTCCAGCTGCAGGCTCTGTGACATTAGGAAAGCTCCTTTTCATTTTCTGAAGAGGGTAAGGTGATGCGTGTAAACTTCACTCCCCATCCTGGCTGAGACCCCGGGAAGAAGGCTTCTCAGGCCACGCAAGGCTCTTCCTGCGTGGCCATCCTCCCATCCCATCTCTGTCTGTGCTTCCAGAGTCCACGATTCCCCGCAGCCCCACTGTGGTGAAGGGGGTGGCAGGAGGCTCTGTGGCCGTGCTCTGCCCCTACAACCGTAAGGAAAGCAAAAGCATCAAGTACTGGTGTCTCTGGGAAGGGGCCCAGAATGGCCGCTGCCCCCTGCTGGTGGACAGCGAGGGGTGGGTTAAGGCCCAGTACGAGGGCCGCCTCTCCCTGCTGGAGGAGCCAGGCAACGGCACCTTCACTGTCATCCTCAACCAGCTCACCAGCCGGGACGCCGGCTTCTACTGGTGTCTGACCAACGGCGATACTCTCTGGAGGACCACCGTGGAGATCAAGATTATCGAAGGTAGGAGTTGACAGGGAGGGAGAAAGCTCTAAAACCTCTCCAGCCAGCAGCAGCATCCCCAACCACTCTTCCTCCTTTTTCACCCGCCTCCACCCTGATGGGCCAGACCTCAGGAGGGAGCCCACCTATCCAGAGGTCACATTTTCATGCCTATAACACGCACCTTACACTCTGAATTACCATACATGGTACCTCCTACTACCAAGAACATGGGCTTCTTTCGCAGTGTGCAGGCATCAGCTGAAGTCAAGGATTGCAGATACCTCTTTGTATTGAGTCTAGAAGAGAAGGAAGAGTGAGGAAAGCAAACTGAAGTCCATGTGTGAAGATCTATGGTCTATGGTAGACTCTGGATTGATCATGGTGCTCATCAATAATAATTATTACCTAGGCACACAATTACATTTCTTCTGTAGTCAGAATAACATACTTATTTCTAATGCTATCCAAAGAGGATATGTAGACTGAACATGGTGGTGCATGCCTGTAATCTCAGCACCTTGGGAGGCCAAGACAGGAAGATTGCTTGAGCCCAGGAGATGGAGGCTGCAGTGAGCTATGATCGCACCACTACCCTCCAGCCTGGGTGACAGAGAGAGACCTTGTCTCAAAAACAAAAACAAAAATATATATATATATGTATATGACATGTGGACAAAGATTCCCACCAGAGTCACTTCCCTGCAGCATCTCCAAGTACCAACTTCTGTGTTTATTTCTACCTCCCTCCCTCCTCCAGGAGAACCAAACCTCAAGGTACCAGGGAATGTCACGGCTGTGCTGGGAGAGACTCTCAAGGTCCCCTGTCACTTTCCATGCAAATTCTCCTCGTACGAGAAATACTGGTGCAAGTGGAATAACACGGGCTGCCAGGCCCTGCCCAGCCAAGACGAAGGCCCCAGCAAGGCCTTCGTGAACTGTGACGAGAACAGCCGGCTTGTCTCCCTGACCCTGAACCTGGTGACCAGGGCTGATGAGGGCTGGTACTGGTGTGGAGTGAAGCAGGGCCACTTCTATGGAGAGACTGCAGCCGTCTATGTGGCAGTTGAAGAGAGGAAGGCAGCGGGTGAGTCTCCAAGGACAGGGCCTGCACCCCTCAGACCCAGAGGCAGGACTTCCTGAAGGCCCCTGCCTGAGAGCTTCTCAATCAGTGCTGGCCCCTATGTTTGGCTGTAAGAGGCTGAAAGTGGAGAGTGGGAAGGGAGGGGACATTTAGGTCCTATATAGCCTCGTTGAGCCCTTCAAAAGGGACATCTCAAATAAACATACCAACTAAGTAAAAATAGTGGGTTTGCTATTTAACCTCGGCATTAAGACAACTCCCAGCTGAATGTGGTGGCTCACACCTGTAATCCCAGCACTTTGGGAGGCCGAGGTAGGCAGATCACTTGAGGCCAGGAGTTCAACACCAGCCTGGCTGACATGGAGAAAACTCGTCTCTACTAAAAATACAAAAATTAGCTGGGCATGGTGGTGTAATCCCAGCTATTTGGGTGGCTGAGGCATGAGAATTGCTTGAACCCAAGAGGCAGGGGTTGCAGTGAACTGAGATCGTGCCACCACACTCTAGCCTAGGCAACAGAGCTAGATTCCATTTCAAAAAAAAAAAAAAGACAAGTCCCATAGTTGCCACTTCAACCCAGATTGAAGTCTCTTCTATATCTGGAAATATTCTTCTCTGTATAGAAGAATAATATGCATACATCACTGTCATATGCAATATGTTCATCCCCCTTCCCCCTGCCAAAGCTCGCCCTCGAAAGAGGGCCAGATACCTTCATTTACAAGGTCTGATCAGGAAAATTAGGAAACATCTAGTAAATTTGCATTTCAAGTCCCCTTTTAAAATTTCACATGAAATGTTTTAGCCCTAATAAGGGTATTTGTAGTCCCTCAAGAAATCCTATTGGGTCTGGACCCTGCGGATGGGACTCACTGAGGGGCCCATCGCCAGGCTACCTCCAGGGGGCAGCACTATCATACCCAGCTGGGCAGTCAGGAAGCCTGGGGCAGCGTCTCAGAGCCTTGAAAATCTCCCGGGCATAAGTGATGGGTCAGCCTTTATGCACAGCTGGTCTATGACACGAAGCCTTGAAGGTCCCCACTATACTTTTGGTAGTAATGGGGCAGAGATCATCTGTGACAGCTGAAGAAGGCCATCACAGCTGTTTCTAATGTCATCCTGGGTCCTACCCCAACAGCCTTGAGATCGAACCCTGACCCTGTGATTCCTCATGAAGTCTCCCCCAGACTCCTTCACCTCGAGGAGTAAGAGCATAGAGAAAAATCACAACCCAGGCCCACTCTTCCCTGCTGCAGGGTCCCGCGATGTCAGCCTAGCGAAGGCAGACGCTGCTCCTGATGAGAAGGTGCTAGACTCTGGTTTTCGGGAGATTGAGAACAAAGCCATTCAGGATCCCAGGCTTTTTGCAGAGGAAAAGGCGGTGGCAGATACAAGAGATCAAGCCGATGGGAGCAGAGCATCTGTGGATTCCGGCAGGTAAGGAAGGATTCAAGGCTCCCCACTCGGAGAACACCCCAGAGCCGAGCACCTGAGGCTGGGCCACCAGGTCCAAGGAGGAAAGCCCATCTGTCTCTTGAGCACTGGGGCAGCCCTTACTACCTCTGCTTATATGTGGGAGGGTCCTATGGTACCCTCTGCCCTTCTCCCATGGCTGGGGAGGTGTTTACAATTCAGTTCAATCTTCCAGGCCTAGGATGCAACAAGGCCCAGTGCGTGCCTTTGCCAGTCTGGGAAGGCTTCTTAGAAGAACAGAGCTAGGGAGCTGCATCAGCAGGGTGGGGTGGATAAACCTGGGAGGAAAAAGGACTAAGCCAACCTTGCCAGCACATCGTCGGGCCCCCAGATCTCCCTTCCAGGGATGAACTAACTTAAGCCTTCTTCCAGCTCTGAGGAACAAGGTGGAAGCTCCAGAGCGCTGGTCTCCACCCTGGTGCCCCTGGGCCTGGTGCTGGCAGTGGGAGCCGTGGCTGTGGGGGTGGCCAGAGCCCGGCACAGGAAGAACGTCGGTGAGTCCCTGGGATACTCCCTGCCTCCCACCTCCAACCCGAGCCCTCAGTCCTGAATCATCCACCCATAGAGGAAGCTGCTGTGTCTCTTCTTTTTCATGAGCTAAAACAAAGGATCCCGAGAAAGCAGGATGGGGAAAGATAAACCCACACATACTCGAAACTGAAATTCAGAGCTGCTGTCCAAATACTAACACTGGAAAATCATCTCCAATTACCCAGGATCTAGGTTCAGAGACAGGGCTGCCAGGAAGAGGAGATTGGGTTTCAGGAGACCCTGGGCTTGGACTAATTGGATAACTAATGAGCTGTGTGACATTGAGCCATCCTTATGCCATGCCTCAGTTTCCTCATGGCTCAAGTCAAGGATGATAATCAGGACCTCACGGGGCTGATGTGAGGACCAAAGGAGATGCTGTGCATTGAAAGGTCCCAGAGTGACAAAGATCAGGGATTACCAAGTCCTGATTACCCAGGAAAAGGGACTGGGGAGGAGACTCGGATCATTTCCATCCCCCTGGGTCATAGTCAGAGCTGCACCACCTCAGCTGTCCTGCAGGGCTACAGTGGATCCGCCCAGAGAGAAGCAGCCCAGCCTGGCCTTCTAGGTCCCAGCCCCTGTCCTTACACCAACTCCTCTTCCTCCCGGACAGACCGAGTTTCAATCAGAAGCTACAGGACAGACATTAGCATGTCAGACTTCGAGAACTCCAGGGAATTTGGAGCCAATGACAACATGGGAGCCTCTTCGATCACTCAGGAGACATCCCTCGGAGGAAAAGAAGGTATGACCCTCACTCAAGGGAATGCTCAGCCCCTGGGGAGAGTAAGAATTGGTCTCACATCTGGGTTGGGAAAAGGAGGCTAGTAAGGGCTAACCTACCCTCTTTCTTCACACAGAGTTTGTTGCCACCACTGAGAGCACCACAGAGACCAAAGAACCCAAGAAGGCAAAAAGGGTGAGGAGGAAGAAGGAAGCCCCACTACATGACAAAGAAATGCAGCATGAGGGGATGCAGTTAGACTTCAGAAAGAACTACCTCAACATGGGGGCCGATCCCAGAATAGGGAGGATGATATAAATAGTCCTCAGGAGTCCTCAGGACTTTTTGAGGAAGAACTATATCTTACTGGTTGTGGGATGCTGATGTGGATAAGGCCCAGGAAGGAGGTGAGCTATATGATTAGGCTGTAAAACTGCAGGAGAGAGGCAGGCCAGGAGATGAGGAAAGCAGGTGCATAAAAGATGGGAAGCTACAATGCCAAATGCTGGTGATTAAATGGATGCTCTTCCTGGGTTGGGGGACCCAAGGACCTCAGGCCACACATCCTCCCTTGAGGGTTTGCTCAGGACCAGCTTTTTGCCTGGGCCTAGGAGACATTTGCTTGCGGTGGGCAGTTTGAGGCTAGAAGCCCCTGCTCACTTCTCTTGAAGCCCCACCAGAGGCAACTCCTGCCTTGGGTGCCATATACCATCCCCTCAATCTGCCCTAGGACTCAGGGGACCAAGAAAAATAACATCTCATGCCTTTAATCCCGAGGTGAGAGTTTTTGTTGTTGTTGTTGTTGTTTTTATCATATCTACTTTTTCTTGAAACATCTCTGGCATTTAGCAAAGTTAGAACGAGTTATTCCTGGGACAGCCTTCCCCTTTAACTTTGTGGTGCCAAAAAGCTACCTGTCTGGGCTGGTGGAGAAAGAAAAACATACACCACCGTGGTTGACCCCAGCCTAGGCCACCTTGCCCGTGGACTGTGTGGGCAGCTTCCGGGGACAGGCCCGGGCAACAGAGGCGGTTCCACTCCGTGTGTCAGAAGGAGGTAGTGAGACAGAAGAAGATATTTTTAGAGGCTGCAACTTTCCATTTCTCAAAATGCGTCCTTCTTGGTGAGCATGGGGGCTGGGATGAGAACAGTGGGCCCCAAAGGCTTGTGTTGCTTGGACCAAGATCACGAATTCAGGACATTAAGCACCTCCCCTCCCCTGACTCCACCCACTGAGCCAGTGCCCCCAACACTGATGCCTCTCCTCTTGCCCCTTAGTCATCCAAGGAGGAAGCCGAGATGGCCTACAAAGACTTCCTGCTCCAGTCCAGCACCGTGGCCGCCGAGGCCCAGGACGGCCCCCAGGAAGCCTAGACGGTGTCGCCGCCTGCTCCCTGCACCCATGACAATCACCTTCAGAATCATGTCGATCCTGGGGCCCTCAGCTCCTGGGGACCCCACTCCCTGCTCTAACACCTGCCTAGGTTTTTCCTACTGTCCTCAGAGGCGTGCTGGTCCCCTCCTCAGTGACATCAAAGCCTGGCCTAATTGTTCCTATTGGGGATGAGGGTGGCATGAGGAGGTCCCACTTGCAACTTCTTTCTGTTGAGAGAACCTCAGGTACGGAGAAGAATAGAGGTCCTCATGGGTCCCTTGAAGGAAGAGGGACCAGGGTGGGAGAGCTGATTGCAGAAAGGAGAGACGTGCAGCGCCCCTCTGCACCCTTATCATGGGATGTCAACAGAATTTTTCCCTCCACTCCATCCCTCCCTCCCGTCCTTCCCCTCTTCTTCTTTCCTTCCATCAAAAGATGTATTTGAATTCATACTAGAATTCAGGTGCTTTGCTAGATGCTGTGACAGGTATGCCACCAACACTGCTCACAGCCTTTCTGAGGACACCAGTGAAAGAAGCCACAGCTCTTCTTGGCGTATTTATACTCACTGAGTCTTAACTTTTCACCAGGGGTGCTCACCTCTGCCCCTATTGGGAGAGGTCATAAAATGTCTCGAGTCCTAAGGCCTTAGGGGTCATGTATGATGAGCATACACACAGGTAATTATAAACCCACATTCTTACCATTTCACACATAAGAAAATTGAGGTTTGGAAGAGTGAAGCGTTTTTCTTTTTCTTTTTTTTTTTTGAGACGGAGTCTCTCACTGTCGCCCAGGCTGGAGTGCAGTGGCGCAATCTCGGCTCACTGCAACCTCCGCCTCCCAGGTTGACACCATTCTCCTGCCTCACCCTCCCAAGTAGCTGGGACTACAGGCGCCTGCCAGCACGCCTGGCTAATTTTTTGTATTTTTAGTAGAGACAGGGTTTCACCGTGTTAGCCAGGATGGTCTCGATCTCCTGACCTCGTGATCCGCCTGCCTCTGCCTCCCAAAGTGCTGGGATTACAGGCGTGAGCCACCGCGTCCGGCCTCTTTTTTTCTTTTCTTTTTTTTGAGACAAAGTCTCACTGTGTCACCCAGACTGGAATGCAGTGACACAATCTCGGCTCACTGAAACCTCTGCCTTCCAGGTTCAAGCTATTCTCATGCCTCAGCCTCTCAAGTAGCTGGGACTACAGATGTGGGCCACCATGTCTGGCTAATTTTTTTTTTTTTTTTTTTTTTTTGTAGAGACAGGGTTTCGCCATGTTGACGAGACTGGTCTCGAACTCCTGGCCTCAAGTGATCTGCCGCCTCAGCTTCTCAAAGTACTGGGATTATATAGGCATGAGCCACTGAGCCTGGCCCTGAAGCGTTTTTCTCAAAGGCCCTCAGTGAGATAAATTAGATTTGGCATCTCCTGTCCTGGGCCAGGGATCTCTCTACAAGAGCCCCTGCCCCTCTGTTGGAGGCACAGTTTTAGAATAAGGAGGAGGAGGGAGAAGAGAAAATGTAAAGGAGGGAGATCTTTCCCAGGCCGCACCATTTCTGTCACTCACATGGACCCAAGATAAAAGAATGGCCAAACCCTCACAACCCCTGATGTTTGAAGAGTTCCAAGTTGAAGGGAAACAAAGAAGTGTTTGATGGTGCCAGAGAGGGGCTGCTCTCCAGAAAGCTAAAATTTAATTTCTTTTTTCCTCTGAGTTCTGTACTTCAACCAGCCTACAAGCTGGCACTTGCTAACAAATCAGAAATATGACAATTAATGATTAAAGACTGTGATTGCCACCAACGAGGCTCAGACTGTATTTGCACCCAATACCTTCTGTCTCCCAGACAGCCTCTTCAGAGCTTTTCTTTTCTTTTTCTTTTCCTTTTTTTTTTTTAAGACAGGGCACTCTGTTGCCCAGGCTGGAGTGCAGTGGTGCAATCATGGCTCACTGCAGCCTCAACCTCCTGGTTTCAAGTGATCCTTCCACCTCAGCCTCCAGAGTAGCTTGGACTACAGGCGTCCACCACCACACTGGCTAACTTTTTGTATTTTTTTGTAGAGACAGAATTTCGCCATGTTGCCTATGCAGGTGTTGAATTCCTGGGCTCAACTGATCCTCCCACCTCTGCCTCCCAGAGTGCTGGGATCACAGATGTGAGCCACTGCATCTGGCTGCCTTTTGCTTTGGTCCCAATTTTAGGCACCCTGGGACCCCCTTGTCTGTTAAGATCATTCCTAGGTTCTGGTGCTGAACCATGTCATATCCTCTAAGGGCTGCCCAAGCTGTCTGTTGGCAGCTAGCCCCCCATCTCACCCCTAGACTCTTCCACAGGGCTTCTGTGTGTGGAGAGTTCTCTCTGCAAGAGAGTTCTCCCCAGTCTGCCATCCTGCCTGATGTGAACCTTTGCTTCCACCCAGGCCTTAAACATAATGCTGTGGATGCTATGAGCTTCCCAAGCCTACCTTTTCCTGGGACTCAGACTTCAGGCCTCCTTTGGTGTTCCCTCCAGCCCCACTAACTGCAGTACTCCAGTCTCAGTTCCCAGGCCCTGACCTGGGTCAGAGTCTTGGGCTTCTATCCAGCCAGAAGAGGGGGCATCAGAAATGTTTTTTTCTTTCTTCTGTGATGGGGATGCATACCTTCTGGAATGACAGCAAATCGTTCCAGGAGGATCAAAATGACAGGTGTGTCAGAAACTACCACTGTCTTACCCTTCCAGGAAGCTGTTCTCTGACTCACCAAAGGGCCATGTTTATGGTAGAGGATTAAGATGCAACTTCTGTACGCATTGCAATAACCAGCGAGCCAGTCCTGAACTCGTGTAGCCTATCCCAGCCCTTTGAAGCAAAGGTCAAGAAATGTCACTAAAGCCAAAAGCGATCTTATATTATTCCTAAGTGATATTGTCAGTAAGGCTCAAAGTCCATCTGCTCCCCGTGTAGCACAAGAAACCCTTTTAAATAAGGAAGCTAGTTCATAGGTTCCAGTGGACGTGAGTTTGGAGAGGATATGATTCAGCTTAGTATAGGGGAGTGACCATAAACTGCAGGATTGATGATGATAAACCAATTAGCAACGGTCAGTGGCCCCGAGCATTCAAGGAACTGTTTAAACATTTGATGACAAGGAAATCTTTCCCAAGTTCTTGAATTATCTTAATGTTTATTCTTTTTTAAAAGTCCAATATGTAAAGACAGGACTATTATTAAGGCCCAACAGGACTATTATGAAGGCCCAACTATTATTAATGCTCAACCACTGCTGGGCATTATTAAGGCCAAACAGTGGTTAGGAATTTTTTTTTTTTTTTTTTTTTTTTTTTTTTTTTTTTTTTTTTGGTAGAGACAGGGTCTTGTTTGTTGCCCAGGCTGGTCTGGAACTCCTGGCCTCAAGCAATCCTTCTGCCTCTGCCTCCCAAAGCATGGGGACGACAGGCGTGAGCCACTGCACCCAGCCAGGAACTTGTTTATAGCAATTGATTTTGTTTTGTAAAGCTAAAAAATAGATCTCTGATTTAGACTTTTCCAAAACTCAAGACAGAACATCTCTCCTAAGAACATTAAACAGCAGCGAGAGGAACTGACTGTGCTATGGTCTATGAAACCGGTCCCCCAGGCAGAGAAACAAGTAGAGTTTCCCACCCCATCCCTCCCAGCTTTCCTAAAATAATTATCTCTACTAAGGAGTCTGCGCAACAAAAATAAGAGATCATCTCAAAAAGGCTACATGTCTAAGTGGACAGTGGACATGCTGAGAGGCAAGCTGTGAGACTGAGACCAAAGGTCCCAGCAGGCTGTGGAGCAAGGCAGGCATGGAGAGAGGATCATCGGTATAGGAGCCAAGCAGCTCTGGAGTGTCTCTTCCAAGGCTGATTCTTAAAAGGGCAGCCAAGCCACTCTCCCTAGAGCCAAAAATCTTTGTCCTAGATACAGGGACATGAATATCCTAAAATCCAGGTTGTTGCTGTTATGTCACATTGAAGTTGATCCAAAAGTCCTGCATATTTGGAGTTTTAACCTCAGAACTCCAATAGGAATATGGCCATAGTCAGGAAAGAAATCTTAGTCATCAAAATCCTACCATTTATTATCTTTAAAAAAGTCACATGGCTGGGTGCGGTGGCTCACACCTGTAATCCCAGCACTTTGGGAAGCCGAGGCGGGCAGATCACAAGGTCAGGAGATCGAGACCATCCTGGCCAACATGGTGAAACCCCGTCTCTACTAAAAATACAAAAATTAGCTGGGCGTGGTGGTGGGCGCCTGTAATCCCAGCTACTTGGGAGGCTGAGGCAGGAGAATTGCCTGAACGCAGGAGGCGGAGGTTGCAGTGAGCCGAGATCGCGCCACTGCACTCCAGCTTGGGGACAAAGTGAGACTCTGCCAAAAAAAAAAAAAAAGTCACAAATGGGCTTATTGTTGTAAAGGTAAATGCTCCAAGGCCCTGCTGCTGTGGAGTGGCTTGCTCTGGGACAGGCAAGCCTGGGGTCCTGCGGTGCTTGGAAGGACGGGACAACAGGGTCCCTGAGTCAGGTACCTCTACCTGGGGAGGGGGCTTGTTCTTGGTGAGTCCACCAGACAAGGAGATTCTTGTGGTCTGTCATTGCAGAGAACAGTGTTGGGTCATGGAGAGGACCACCTGAGGATGGAGGCCCTCAGTTTGGGAAGGCCCAGAAAATGGCCCTTGTAACCCGGCCATGCGGAGGTCAAAGCAGAGAAAAGCAATAACCAAGCAGAACCCATGACAACAAGCTCCACCCAGTGGCGGTGGCTCATCTCCACTGCACTCTGACCACATCGCAGGCTGTGTGCTGAGTCCCTTGTAACACTTGCCTCATGTGATCCTCACAACTGCCTTACGAGAAACGTTCTTCTTAGCCCATCTGTAACATAGGGAGGATGGCAGAGCCTAAGCTAAAAGGTCATCATACAGAGCGAATGAACACACCTCAAGGACTTCACTTTCCATTGGATCTGGCATTATTTATTCCCTCCACCCGCTGTCGGGGGGCTGTGAATGTTTTCCATCAGGTTCACCCCTTCTGGACCCTAGAGGGTGTTGGGCCATTGGCTCCCTTGCCCCATGGTGTGCTCCAGCCTGGCAGACACTCCCCTGGGAGTAAGAGTGCCAGGGCACCATGGTAGCCCTGTGAGTCAGAAAGGAGAAATCGAGCTTAGACGAGAAAAAAAGAAAGAAGAAAATAAGGATGTAAGAATTGTAAAGTTCACAATTTCACCAGCAGTCAGTCTTCCCTTGGGCCCCAACCCCCATGACCCAGGGGCAACAGCTAAAGGTAAATGGAACAAGCCCAGTTCTGGGGATTTTGATCCCCTCAAACTCCCGACATTCGCCGCCTGCCCAGCCGTCCTCACACCCCTAACTCTTAAGTCTTGTAACCTAATGGGATGTTTTCAGGGTTTCACTTGGGCCACACGTGATGCAAAAAGCTCTCCTGCCCACTCCCATCCCACACACCTTCCGCCCTGCCCGGCAGGCCCCAGCCTCAGCCCAGCCAAACCCTGATCTTCACAGACATGCACACACACTCACACTCCACAGAGCACACACACAACCACACACCACACACACACACTCAACCACACACCACACACTCATAACCACACACCACACACTCACACACTCTACAGAGCACACACACACTCATGGACGCACACCACACACACACAACCACACACCACACACACACTCAACCACACACACACTAGACAGAGCATAGAGTGCGCACACACACACTCATAGCCACACACCACGCAGTGACACACACTCATAACTACATACCACACACAACACATAGCACACACACATAGCCACACACCACACATTCACACACACTCATAGCCACACACCACACATTCACACACTCCACAGAGCACACACACACTCATGGACACACATCACACACACAATCACACACACATAACCACACACCACACACACTAGACAGAGCACACACACTCATAGCCACACACCACACACACACTCCACAGAGCACACACACACTCATAGCCACACACCACACACACACTCCACAGTGCACACACACACTCATAGCCACACGCCACACACTCACACACTCTACAGAGCACACACACACTCATGGACACACACCACACACACAATCACACACACATAACCACACACCACACACACTAGACAGAGAACACACACACTCATAACCACACACCACACACTCACACACTCAACCACTCACACACTAGACACAGCATAGAGTGTGCACACACACACTCATAGCCACACACCACGCAGTGACACACACTCATAACTACATACCACACACAACACATAGCACACACACATAGCCGCACACCACACATTCACACACACACATACATCACACAGCCACGCATCCTACATTCACACACATACCACACAGCACATACACACTCATAGCCACACATCATACATTCACACAGACACATTACACATAACACACTCACACTCTCATAGCCACACACTACATGTTCACACTCACTACACACACTCACACTGTAGCCACACACCACACACACACCACACACGTATCACACAACATACATTGCACCCTTACACACACCTCAGACACACACCACACATACTTCACACGCTCAAACATCAGAGTCATACAACACACATCATACACTCACACATTCATTCATACATATATTCATACTCACACACTCTTGCCCCCACACACATCACGTTCATTCACTCATATTCCCCTTCTCTGTCTCTCCAAGACAGCCCCAGGCCTCAAGCCCAGTGCATGGTGGAGCCCAGCTGTGTGACAGCTCTGGGGCATTGGGAAGAGCCCGCTAAGTAGGGAAGGGTGGGGCTAATCCCAGCTGGGAGCTCTGGCACTAAGGAGAGGCCCGAGGCTGCCCTCTGCCATCTTGGCCCATTTCAGGGCTGGAGGACATCACAACCACAGCTGCTCCGGGCCAGGGGAGATTCAGATAGGGATGGGGCAGGGCAGGCTGCCCACCCCCCCACACACTTCCTCTGCACCTGCTCTGAGCCTCACATTCAACTTCCACCACGGATGTTGTTGTTTTAGAGAACATGTGACAAATCTGCTGTGTGGGGGCGAGCAGGGAGTGGCTGACACAACCACTGTGGAGCCCGGGTCTGTCAGGCACATCCCCCCAGAAACAGTGTGAGTATAGCCCGGATCCTCCAGGGGCACAAGAGGTCCTTTCACCTGGGGTTGGGGCCCTGAGAACTGACCTCCAGGGATGAAACTTCCAGGAACAGAGCCCTGAGAATGCCCTCATAAGTAATACCCCTGCGCAGCTCACAGTGAAGGCTTCTTAAAGCACTTCCATGCCTGTGAGTTCTGCTGGGCCTCAGAAAAGCCATGTGAGGTGGGCAGGGTAGGGGCAATCCCTACTTTATCAAGGAAAAAACCGAGGCCCAGGGAAATTTGCCCAAAGCTAGAAAGTGCCAAGCCAGTACAAGACCTGAGGTCTTCTGACTTGCATCCAAAACTCTTCCCAAGATGCCCTGTGGCCTCAGCATCTCTCTCCATCAGTCATGGGCCTTACCCTTGGGCCCTTGGGGTCCTGAAGGAGAGCTCTACCAGGGTGCTGTGACTTCAGGCAAAGTGGCTGCATGACCTGTCACACCCCAGTTCTGGCATTGCCTTGGTGGTCACTGGACAGAGGCCTGAGCCCTTGCCACAGGGCAGCACCTTGTGGGGACACTTTGGGGAGATTAAGGGTGAAGGTTGGCTGAGGTGCTGGGGAGCTATGTGAAGTCCTCAGGAACTGTGTTCTGCAGGAGGGAATGGCAGGGATCATCTAGTCCCAGCTTCGTTTATTTCCTAGATGAAGAAATTCAGGCTCAGAGAAAAGTAATGGATTGCTCAAAGTCCTTAGTTAGTACCCCCACATAGAAGGTGCTCAAAAACTATTGTAAAGGTGAGTTAACTGGTGACTGGTAAGGACTACAGTCAGCATCTTCTGACTTCAGGCCCAAGCGTCTGCCCATACAGCCTTTCTCAGGCAGGGAAAATTGGTGATAAGGCTCTTTTATCCTGAAGGCAGAATGAAAGCAAATGACCCCAGCACGGAAGCCAATGAGTATACATAAAGCACGGGAGGCCCTGCTAAGAAAAAGCACCAAGACAAAGGAATATCAGGCCTGGTCACTGCTAATAGTCTGGAGGAACTTCTTAGATGCCTTTTGAACAGGGTGACCCTTTCTTACTCCACACAACATGTTTTCTCAGCTCCTGACTTCCGCTGTGGTTTGTCAGCACTCTCTTTTTAGCCTGAGAATAGTTAGCAAACAAGGGAGGTTGTCATTTCCTCATCGTCAAGCTTTGTTCCTCGTGGGGGCTAGAAATCTCTTTCCAGTTCCAGATTGTGAAGGGTTCCTGAGTAAGCAGCGTGTCTCCATCCCCCTCTCTAGGGGCTCTTGGATGGACCTTGCACTCTAGAAGGGACAATGGACTTCTGGCTTTGGCCACTTTACTTCCTGCCAGGTAAGTACCGTGGGGAAACACTTCAGACCTCTGAATGAGGCTTGAATTGGCCACAAGTAGAATAATTGCCTGGTAGCTCTAGCTCTGATGTTTCTGGATGGATTCAGTTGTGAACCAACACCTAGGGCAGGACAAGAATGGAGGCCATGTGAGGTGTTGGATGCCTTCCTCACTCCATGGTAATGCTCCTTTCTCCACTCCAGACACTCTCCTGTTTCAGTCAGGTGTTAACTCTATCACCCAGGCTGGAGTGCAGTGGTGTGATCATGGCTCACTGCAGTCTTGTACTCCTGGGTTCGAGTGATCCTACCACCCCAGACTCTCTAGTAGCTAGGACTACAAGTGCATGCCACCATGCCCAGCTAATTTTTAATTTTTTTGTAGAGATGGAGTCTTGCTGTGTTGCCCAGGATGGTCTTGAACTTGTGGCCTTAAGTGATCCTCCTGGCTCAGCTTCACAAAGCGCTGGGATTACAGGTGTGAGCCACTGTGCCCAGCCAGGTGTTAACTCTTAAGAGCTGAAGGTGTCATCTCTCCTAAACATATTAGCCTATTAATATGGGATCTTAAAGCAAGTGTCTCCGTACTTCTTTCTTCTTACCTCTACACTCTTTCTATAGATCTTTTTCAGTCCCGAATTTCCAACTTTCAACCCTAAATGAAAATTCCGTAATCCATTCAGTAGCTCTAATCTATTTCCTGAATTCCATATCTCAACTTACAACTGTCTCCTGGGCAACCTCTGCTTCAATATTCCACCAAGATTTGAAATGTAAACTGCCTAACCTTACCTCAATTCTTCATTGATCACCATCCAAACCAGCTATTTCACCTGTCTGAAGTATCGCTGATCATCAGCCACAAAATGCCAGAATGGCTAATTACCACCTCTTCCCATGTATCCTCATTCAGACCTTGATCCAGTCAATGGCCAAATCATTGCAGTTTCTAGATCCATGTCTACTGGGATAAGAAGCAGCAGCAATTGATACTAGGAAGGTAACAGAGGAAATGGACGGGAAAAGAACACACAATCCCCTCTTAACTATCTTTCCCACTTCCTCTAACTCAGGATGCCTGCAGTGCCAGATTAATTTTCTTAAACTTGACTTCTAATCACAGGATTACCTCTCCCAAGAACCTCTAATGACTCCTACTGCCTACTGAAGTCAATATACACTCCTCCCTGTATCCCCTTTCATACTCTGAGCCAACCATACTCCCCAACACTTTCCTAACCTTCGGCCAACAGGACTCCTCCTTGAACACAAGCCACACACTCCTGCCACCATGTCTTTGCCCATGCTGTGCCTTCTGCCAGGAACACCCTTCCTCTCACCTTCACCTTTTTTTTTTTTTTTTTGAGACAGAGTCTCTCTCTGTTGCCCCGACTGGAGTGCAGTGGCACAATCTCATCACACTGCAACCTCCGCCTCCTGGGTTCAAGCGATTCTCCTGCCTTAGCTTCCCAAGTAGCTGGGATTACAGGTGCGCACTATCGTGACAGGCTAAATTTTGTATTTTTAGTAGAGACGGGGTTTTCCCATGTTGGCCAGGCTGGTCTTGAACTCCTGACCTCAGATGATCCACCCGCCTCGGCCTCCCAAAGTGCTGGGATTACAGGCTTGAGCCACTGCACCTGGCCACCTTCACTTTTTATGGGTTCTTCAAAGTCCATCTCAAACTTCACCTCCTTATTGTAGACATTCCTGAGCCCCCTCTTCTGAGCCCAATGGCTGCCTTGTATTATGTTCAATGTGTGTCCATCTTAATTTGGTTTATTCAGTGATAAGTTCCTTGTGGATTAAAGTGGCTTCCTATTATGTTTGCTTTCTTTGTGATGTCTTGAGTATGAAAGAAACTCAGATATTTGTTAAGCTGAAGATTGAAAATCTCTAAAAGTCCAACGGAATGGAGTTTACGTGAAACATCAAACACTGTGAGAGGTAGTAGGACATAGGAGGGCACGGTGGTTGGTTAACTAAACTTAGGCCTGAGGAGGAAGAGAGGATTTGGTGGGGAGTGGAAGACCTAAAGGCATGAAGGGTCCTCAAATTGCACCACTTCAGTCTGTCCTGAGAAGTACCCTCATTCTAGCTGGGCCAAGGGATCCTGCTATGGGCTCCACCCTTCTCCAGTCATGCCCATGCCCACAGGGTGAGCACTTTGCAGGCCGGGGGAGGCACACGCCCCAAGCCCACACCTAATCCCACTTTTTTTTGAGACAGGATCTCACTCCTGTCACCCAGGCTGGAATGCAGTGGTGTGATCACGACTCACTGCAACCTCAACTTCCCAGACTCAAGTGATCCTCCCACCTCAGCCTCCTGAGTAGCTGGGACTACAGGCACATGCCACCTCTCCTGGCTAATTTTTGTATTTTTAATAGAGATAGGGTCTCACCATGTTGCCCAGGCTGGTCTCAAACTCCTGGACTCAAATGATCAGCCTGCCTCTGCCTCCCAAAGTGCTGGGATTACAGGCCTGAGCCACCATGCCCTACCCAAACTCTCTCTTTTAGAACTAGAATTCCCTGTCCACATGACTCTGGGCCCCCTTTCAATGACGGTGCAAGCTTCTATCCTGGGTCTTCCTCTTGAGATTGACCCCTGGCCTATAAAAGGTGGCCATGGGCGGCTATTTGGGAAGAAGGTGGGGGTGGACGAAGACTGTACTTGCAAGCTGGGGTATCTACTATGTATATACCAGGACCCTTGTGCTGTGGGCAGGAGGAAGGGATGAGAGGAAGCTTGGGGTTGTTTTCCCTGCATGGCCACGGAGTAGAGTGGACATCCAAGGAGGGTGCATTAGTCAAGCTAGGGAAGTAAAGCGAATTTTATTTAACAGTTTATTAGCTTGATTTATAACTTAAAAATATTCAGATATATAGTATTTGGGCTTTAATTTGTACTCCTACTCCAGGTCCTGCAAATGCTGGAGTGGGTCTCCCTAGGGCCTAGCGCATGAGGCACAAACTGTAGACCACTTTGCCTGGAGCCCTGTGTAGAGCTCTATAATAAAGCAAGGCAGTGTCATGCAGTGTGAGCTTTCAAACCTTTTTACCTTGACTAATGATAATAATAATACATACATACATACATACATTTGATGCTGGGACCCAGCATGCACAGACACACACACACACACACACACACACACACACACACTTAAAATTTATTCTTGATTCTTTAACATGAAGATGAGTTCTAGGCTTCAGCAGATGGGTGGATGATGGGGTCATCGGAAGAGTGTGTGAAGGTCAGGTTTTGGAAGAGAAATCAGCTCTTTCTCAGCTGTCCTAAGTTTGGCATATATCTTACACATTCAAGTAGGGTCCACGTGGAGATGTCAGAGCAAGTCTGGAGCTCAGAGGAAGACTGGAGATCACATTTTGGTGGAATCTATAGCATTAGCCTTAAAAGCCATGGGAGTCAATGAGCGAGTGAGGGGAGAGAGGGAGGGAGGACAGAGAAAAGAACAGGTCCAAGGCACAGGGCCTGGGCTAGCCAGGATGGAGAGGCAGGAGAGAAGGAGAGGAAGAATGCAGGCTGACAGGGAGCCACCGTTGAGGGTATGCACTAAGGAAGCCACACCAAGGGTGTGTTTCAAGCTGGGCTGGCTCCATTCTGTCAACCGCTGCTGAGAGGATGAGGGGAAATGAAGACAAAGAGGTGACCATTACATGTGGCAACAGGAGAATTTCAGTGACTTGACAAGAGCAGTTTCAGTGGAATACTGGACACGAAATTCTGATAGAAGTGGATTGAAGAGAAATTGGGAGGTATGGAAGTGAATCTGATTTAGCGAATTTGATGACTGATTTGAGAAAGAGAATAAAGAGGTGTGTTGGCAGGTGAAGGGGAGGCAAAGGTCAACTGAGGGATTTCTAAAGATGGGCAAAGCCAGGCATGGAGACTCATGCCTGTAATCCCAACACTTTGGGAGGCTGAGGTGGGTGGATCATTTGAGCCTGGGATTCAAGACCAGCCTGGGTGAAAGCCCATCTCTAAAAAAAAAAAAAAAATTCGCCACACATGGTGGCAGGCGCCTGTGATCTCAGCTATTCAGGAGGCTGAAGTGGGAGCCTCAATTGAGCCCAGGAAGTGGAGGCTGCAGTGAGCCAAGATTGCACCACTGCACCCCAGCCTGGGTGACAGAGAAAGACCCTGTCTTAAAAACAGAAGGAGAAGAAAATATGGGCAATAGCAGGACATGTGTGTAAGCTATGGCAATGCTAGATGAGAAGGCCATTTTTCTCCAATAGCCAGAGAAAGAAACAGGATCATTGCAGACAAGAAGTTCTAAAACAGGTGAGAATGATGGACTCAGGATACAGGTGGAGGGGCTGGCCTTTGAAAGGAGGTGGACACTTCATTCTTTGTGACAGGCTGCAGGCCTGGACACACCCGGGTTACTATATCTGGAAATAAGAAGCTGAGCGGGATGTTTCTCATCCTTCAAAAAAAAAATCCATGCCCCGTTTGATAAACATAAAAATCACAGGCCAGCTCTCCTCTTCCTGAGATCTGCTCTTATTTGAGTTGACTAGGTCCTCATCTGCACTTCCACCTGGAAAATCACCCCTAAGTGGGTGCCAGAGTCCCTCTCCAGAGCTCCCCAGCCACCAAGGACCTATGGACCTTGATCTTATTTTGTATGGTGAAAATTTTTTCCCATTTTCCAATCATGTATTTACATCCGTTTATATATTGAGAGTGATTCTTTAAGCCACATATCCCCCTCTTCCCTACCATAACCACTGAAAATCAAGTCACCAATTTAGAGATTAATGTCACTTACTTAGCAGCCTCTCAGAAATATTACTATTGAACAGGTTGGTTCCTTTCGATGCCTTCTCTCATTCCTCCCTTTCTTCCCCAGAATCATTTGTAAATGTTATATAGCCCAGGATTGCAGAAATGCAAGAGCACCTGGGACACCTGTTTAAAAACACGTATTTCTAGACCATGCCCTAGACAGATGTAATCACCTTTCCTAAGAACGGGACCAGATCATCTGCATCGTAGCCAATCTCCTCAGATGAGTCTCATGCACACTGTGCTACTTTAGATGTCTAAACCAGTAGCTTATATCTGTCTTTTCTCTGTTTTCAAAATCTGCTTTACTAAGTCTTGGGAATAGGTTAGAAGCTACCATGAACTTGAGGAGAACTAGTTTCTTTTTCCTGGGGACTGGTCATTTTCACATCGCCAACAACTGCTTCCTTGTGGACCAGAGCTCAGCATAGCCAGCAGCTTTCCTTGCACTTCATCCGTCTAGGGTCTGCACAAGCAGCCGAACAGGCAAGCCAGGGATTTACCAAAAGCTCAACCCTGGGAGGCCTGAGGCTGCTGGAGGTTGCTACATGGGTGATGACCCCATCTCTGCTATCTTCCCCCTGCCCGTTGTGTACCATCTTGCTCTTGGGAAAGTGGCATTCACACCCCCTTCCTGGCTGGGTTAGTCTCATTTGAATACTTCCACGTGCTCCCACCCTCGGCATTCAACTTCCCACACAGGTGGGGGCTGTCTGGATGCACAGGGTGATTCCTCCAGACCTTCCTTTGATTGGGTCTTTGTCTGTTGATTGACACTTTGTGACAGGTCACCTTTCCATTGCAATGTCTAGTTGTGAGGCTACCTCATGACTCAATTTCCAGTGGGTTTAAAGCAGTGCTGGGTTTTTCATGTGAGGGTTTCCATGTCAGAACTCGTGGTTTTGGCTGGTCCATCTGCCTGTCCCTACCATGTTTACATCAGCTACACTTTTAGATCTCAATGTCCTCCTGTACGTCCTCCCTCTCCAAATCTCCCCACCTGCCCCAACCCCCTTTCCCCCTCCCATGATTGTTTTTACCTCTCTACCGTTGTCAGAATTCTTCCCTTTGCCCAGAGTGTCTTTATCCCAAAGCCTCAAGCCCCACCTCTTTCCTAAGCTATACCTGACTCTTGTTTGACTAAACTCGATAGTGCTCTTCTTAAAGTGTGCCCTGTGGATAAATCTCAGTACGTTTGCAAATGTCTCTCCGCCCATGGACATGCTATGTTCTCTCTCATATCCCGGACTGTTAGGGGACTGTTCTGGCTATTTGGAAGAATCTCTTCTCCCCACTTCAGGCTTCCAGCCCCACCTCGCCACACACACACAACTTTACCCTATGAACTTTCTTCCCAGAAATATGCAGACACTTATGGGATCCGCTTAGTTGGCAATTAGTCAGACACGGCCTTACCCTCTTCTGTAGCTGGCTCAAGTGCATTAGACCTGACCTCTGTCACTCAAAGCATAAGCTTTATGATGTCAGGGATTCATGAACCACATCTTTTATCCCTCCCCAGCACACATACAGTGTGTGCACACCTATGCACACATACACACACACCCTCACTTCCCCTCCTATGTCCCCTGCCTCCATGATGAGCATCGTCACGCTCTCAGTTGCACTCCATACCCATTCCTTCAGGTCACAACTCAGACGTCACTTATTCCAGAAAGCCCTCCTCCGACCACGCCACCCCCTGCAACAGCCTACATCAGGCGCCCGGGTTTGCTCCTTCCAGGGAACCCCATGCGATCTCTCTCATGGGATGTATTACACTGCTCACTGGCCATTGATTGGTATCACTCACTAAATGATCTGTGACTGAGGGAGGGATGCCGGCTGCTTTACTGTCACAGGAAAGGCATTCAATAAACGCTTGTTGAATGATTTAATAAATAGAGCTGTGGATGAATGGCTAGATGGATGCGCCTGAGCGAAACCAAACTGGAAAGGAAAACCTGTTGCAACATAACCGCACCATGCTCCCAGCACCACACTGAGGTCACGTGGGGGCTCTATGCTGTTTGGGGTCACCTGAGGCATATTATGTCTCTTTGGAGTGAGTGATATACTTTTGATTATCATCTCAATGGTTTAGTGTCTGGGTCCTTATGGGTTTGGGTTTGGTGGTGAGGCCAAAGCTGGGGGTTAAATTAAGGTAACGCTAAGGCATAGGATTGGGGGTGAACATAGAGCTGGCCTGAGGTTGTGAATAGGGTTGGGGATGGGATGAGGCTGAAGTTGAGACTAAGGGTAGAAATGAGAATAAGGGTTGGGCGTGGTGGCTCAATCCCAGCACTTTGGGAGGCCGAGGCAGGCAGATCACTTGAGGCCATGAGTTCGAGAACAGCGTGGGCAACATAATGAAAACCCCATCTCTACAAAAAAGACAAAAATTAGCCAGGCATGGCAGCATGCACCTGTAGTCCCTGGTACTTGGGAGGCTGAGCTGGGAGGATTGCTTGAGCCCAGGAGGTTGAGGCTGTAGTGAGTCATGATCATACCACTGCTCTCCAGCCTGCGTAACAGAGTGAGATCCTATTAAAAAAAAAAAAAAGAAAAGAAAGGAAGGAAGGAAGGAAGGAAAGAAAGAAAGAGAAAAGAGAGAGGAAGGAAGGAAGGGAAAGAAAAAGAAAGAAAGGAAGGAAGGAAGGAAGGAAGGAAGGAAGGAAGGAAGGAAGGAAAGAAAAGAAAAAGAAAAAAGAAATGAGGATAAGGCTGTGGCTAAGGACAGGCTGAGGCCAGGCTAATAATTGGGACAGGGCTGGATCTGGGGATGAATGTGAGGTTGGGCTGGGGCCTGGGCTAGGGTTGGAGAGACGGCTGGAGCTGGGAAGTAGATGGGGCTGGGATATAGTTAGAGATGGGGCTCCCTCTGCATTAATCTCCTCTCCCTGCAGTATCGGGGGCCCTGAGGATCCTCCCAGAAGTAAAGGTAGAGGGGGAGCTGGGCGGATCAGTTACCATCAAGTGCCCACTTCCTGAAATGCATGTGAGGATATATCTGTGCCGGGAGATGGCTGGATCTGGAACATGTGGTACCGTGGTATCCACCACCAACTTCATCAAGGCAGAATACAAGGGCCGAGTTACTCTGAAGCAATACCCACGCAAGAATCTGTTCCTAGTGGAGGTAACACAGCTGACAGAAAGTGACAGCGGAGTCTATGCCTGCGGAGCGGGCATGAACACAGACCGGGGAAAGACCCAGAAAGTCACCCTGAATGTCCACAGTGGTAGGTTCCTCCGCTGATTGGAGGCTCAGACTACCCAGAAAATGTTTCACTTGGGAAGATTGGAACAGCCATCTAACTGTAACAGTCTCCTAGACTCTTACACTGTTGCCATATAAGCCACATAATGATTGAGATCCATATGAAACCTCATAGTCAATTACCTCCATGGTCCACACAATTTTCTACCCAACATGTATGAAAAGAACAAGATAGGTGCTCTCTTTGTATTGTTCATCCTACCCAGGGCATGAGGGGAGTAGAGGCTTGAGATTGAGGAGAGGCTCTGAGATGGAGGAAATTGGAAGCAAAAGGAAATAACTATCCAACGTAATTGTCCCATGAGAAATAAAGGAAAGACACTAATTTATCCAGCCACATTTATAGGCCAATCTTATTACTCTGTGACCTGATCCTTTATTTCTCTGGAACCCCGCCTTTCTCCTTTCCTCCACTGAGTTCCCCACACATATGCAGCAGTAATTCAACAGCCTAGAATCCCAATGACCTCTGCTGGTTTTGCAGGGAATGTTGACTGGACTAGGGGAACCAGTATTTCCTCCAGGGAAGCCCCCAACCCAGCTCCTTCTCTGCTTCTTTCAGTGGACCCTGCCCTCATCCCCTCACTGTCATCCACTTTGGCTGAATTAGCTTCAGTTTACACCCAAGCCTCAGTCTCCCCCTAGAGACCACCAACATATTCCTCTTCCTTCCAATAGAATACGAGCCATCATGGGAAGAGCAGCCAATGCCTGAGACTCCAAAATGGTTTCATCTGCCCTATTTGTTCCAGATGCCTGCATATGCCAGTTCTTCCAAATTCGTAACCAGAGGTCAGTTCACCATAGCAAGGGTAGGAGAGGTGGGTGAGATGCTGTGGCAATGTGAAAATGGAGGAGGGGGTCTATGTTCAGTTCATAGAGTGGCTGGCAGAGCTGAGCTGAGTCTTAGGTGTGTATTCCCTGCCTTTAGAGAGGGCACATACCTCCCTGAGATCTGCGGTCCATATCCTTCAAGCCTGTCCGACAGTCAGGTCCCCTGGTCCTAGCTGCAGAACTTACATATTACCACCAGGTGGCACCACAAGCAATGATGTTTGTGCTCCACTCACAAAATCTAGCTCTTTTTATGAATGACTGCGGAAACCAAGACTGGGCAGACATTTCCCAGCTGGAGATCATCATGTCTCGTGCTTCCCGTAGGGCTGTCTTCTACCTGCTGGCATCTAATGATTTTAACTCTATTTTGCAACTAAAAGATTAAGGATGTTCATACTAATGATACCTTTACATTTTGATATCATCATCCAGTTTTAAATGCATTTTGACATGCAATATTTCCATCATATTATCCCATATGCCTATGAGGTAGACACATTAATTGAACATTATTACACTAGGTAACCCTGCTGAGAGCCAAGAGGGATAGTGTAATTGAACAGATCATGTAGCCAAGGTTGTGACTGATAGGTGTGAAATGGGGGAGAATAGATTAGCACGCAAATACAGCACAAGGCAGATTGGGAATAGAACTACAAAAAAGGTTTTCCCCCTGCTCAGAGGGGGCAAGCTCTTCTACCTGGGAAGTCAGGGAAGGCTTCCTGGAAGAAATGGTATTTGAAGCAAATATACTTGGAATTGAGTAGGCCTAGATAGCATGTTAAAAAGGATTTTAGGCCCTGAGGACTGCAAGAACAGAAGTAGTCTGTATAAAAGGGAAGGGTATGTTGTGGAAAGAGGTGGTGACCTAATCCTGTTGGAGAATAGAGTGTATAAAAGGAACATCCCTTTTTCCTGCTACCTCCTGCAGTTACCACACCAGCTCAAAGGGGCAAGGTCCCTCCAGTTCACCACTCCTCCCCCACCACCCAAATCACCCACCGCCCTCGAGTGTCCAGAGCATCTTCAGTAGCAGGTGACAAGCCCCGAACCTTCCTGCCATCCACTACAGCCTCAAAAATCTCAGCTCTGGAGGGGCTGCTCAAGCCCCAGACGCCCAGCTACAACCACCACACCAGGCTGCACAGGCAGAGGTAAGAGACCACTGTCCAGGATCTAGAGTTAGGCTAGAATTAAGAGATCCACTGAAACCCACTGCAATGTCCATTATTAGACACCCTCCTTGGCTTTGTCTCTAGGCCACTGTGAAATATACCACCTATGAGTATAGCTCATTAACTCATTAGTTCCTTTAACAAAAACACACTTGTCAATGCCCCAGCATTGATCCTGTAGAAAGAAGTGAGACCCAGCTCTTCCAGTCACTTAGATTCATTCAGATCTATTTTTATGGGGAAGAACTAAATGAGAATAAAAATAAAATTAACTATTAAACTAGTAATATAAAATTACTTTCACCCATTTCCTTTTACTGTTTTAATGTGGCTACTAGGAAATTTAAAATTACATATGTGACTCACATTTCTCCTGGACAGCACCGGTCTAAAGGCTGGGGTGCAGTCCAAGGAAGTACTGCAATATACCACTAGGGGGAAGCATTATAGCAGACTCCAAAAAAAAAAAACCCTATAATAATCAAAATTGGTTTTGCATAAGCAAAGACAAAGGTGATAGTGAGAAAGAGGACCTCCAAAATCATTTGGGTTCTATAGGTAGGAGAAACTGGGGCCATGAGAACCAAGTGGTTTCAAACAGAACCAGGACTCTTGCTTCCTACCTATTAGTAGGGAAAACATCAAGGTCAACCAGCATTTTCTTATTCTCTACTATGTGGCAAGCATTGTGCTATGTCCTGAAGATATAAGAAGATGACAATATGCAATATCCAGATCTTACTAACATAAGTCTGACTTGATAAAGTCTGAAACAGGCATGACCACAGAATTGGAAACCCAAAGCGCACACACACACACACAAATCTGGCTTACCATAATTAGGAAGAAAAGAGGACTTACACAATGTCCTTTAAGAAAAGTAAGATTTCAATATGCAGAGAAAATTGAGGGGAAAACTTCTAGGCAGAAGGAGCACTATGAGAAAAACATCCTTTCCCCCACCATTATAAGGAACTAGCCCAGTCAATATCTGCAATAATCTCGTGAAGAAACTAAGGTGCTGAACACCGGAAGGTGCATTAAATTCTTTATATCCACTCTTATTTCATCCTCATAACAGTTCTGTGAAATAGATTTTACTATACCTATTTATGGAGAGATAAGGCTCAGAGAGGTTAGGAGACTCGTTCGAGATCACACAACCAGTAAAAGGCGGAATATGAATTTGAATTCAAGTTTCGTGACTCCATAGGCAAGTCTTTTTGAGGGGGGAGTGGAGTGAATTCTGTTAACAAAAGGACAAACCTGTAAGTCATCTCCAAAAACGTTGGCTACACAGGAGCAAGCCCTCAACCTACCTCCTTTAATAATCTCTTCCTCCCTCTCTCCCTTTCCTTCCCTCCCCAGAGCACTGGACTATGGCTCACAGTCTGGGAGGGAAGGCCAAGGATTTCACATCCTGATCCCGACCATCCTGGGCCTTTTCCTGCTGGCACTTCTGGGGCTGGTGGTGAAAAGGGCCGTTGAAAGGAGGAAAGGTGAGCGGCTGGGCTTCGGTAGGGAGAGCTGAGCTGCCCAAAGAGCCCACAGCGTTCAGAACCCCCTTTTGAACTTCCATGGGAAACTCGGAGCTTTTGATGAGCAGCCTGGGGTGTAGGGAAGTTAGGGAAGTGGGGGCCACTGGTCTGAGGAGGAGAGCGGCCTGGGCCCTTTGGTCTTCAGGGCAGGGCAAGGCCGTGCCTCGTACATTCCCCACGCTTGGAGCATCTCCAGGTCAGACACTGCCAAGCCCGAGGGAGGAGGCAGCCTTTCGTTTGGGGAGGGTGGCACGGGCCTCTGATGCCATTTTCCTCCCTCTTCCCGTGGCTTTGTGGGGAAGCCCTCTCCAGGCGGGCCCGCCGACTGGCCGTGAGGATGCGCGCCCTGGAGAGCTCCCAGAGGCCCCGCGGGTCGCCGCGACCGCGCTCCCAAAACAACATCTACAGCGCCTGCCCGCGGCGCGCTCGTGGAGCGGACGCTGCAGGTGAGCCGCCGGGCGGGCCACGGGGAGTAGCGGAAAGAGTGCGCTGGCTCCGGGAAAGCCGGGCGCAGCGGGGCGCGCTCCCAGGTGCCAGGGCTTCCCACAGGGTGGAGCTGGGAGTGGGGCGGGGGTGGAGCTGGGAGTAGTAGCATGACGGTGGGGCGGGAGCCTCGGCCGCCGCCTCACCTCGCCCTCGCTGTTCCCTAGGCACAGGGGAGGCCCCCGTTCCCGGCCCCGGAGCGCCGTTGCCCCCCGCCCCGCTGCAGGTAAGCTCCGCTCCTGCCCTGATTGGCAGCCGCGGCCCGACTGGGCGGCCCCAGCCCTGGGCGGGGACCCGAGTGTGGCTTCCCGCGCCGCCGCCGCCGCGATCCGGAGAGCGGGTTTCCCAGCAGCTCCTGGGCCCTGAGCCGAGGAACAAGTTGTTTTAGTTTCCTCCTTGTTTGGTGTCAGGAGGTTGAATACCGGGAACTGTAGAAGACCTGGTTCCGTGGCTTCTAGCCAAGCAGTTGTCACGGGATACCTGCGTGCTGGATGCAGCTGGCTTAGCAGAGAATGATAGGTGGCAGCTCCACAGTTATGTGAAAGGCTTTCTCGTGGAGGAGATTAGATTTCTAGGGGGTCCTAGGGAGGTGGAAGCTACCTAGACAGTTCACCTTCCTGTGCGCGAGAACTTTCTAGTAAACTCTCGAAGATGAGAGGAGGTAATTTACCTTTCTCTGGAGGCGGTTAAGCTTGGCTAGAGGATGACTTGGGAGAGATGTAGACAGGGTTCAACACCTTGAGTGAGGAGGATTCATCTTTAAATCTAGAGTGGATGGAGGGAACTCGCGTTTCCACTCAGGGCCACTGATGGTTGGGTAGAAAGCCTTTATCCGTTCATCTTTAAGAATTGAGATGAGAAAGCTTTTTATTCTCTAAAGCAGCCTACAGTGTCCAAAACACGCAGAGCCCAGAATAAAGCTTTTTTTAAAAGGGTGTGGTAAAAATCCCTGTTTTTTTTTTCTTTAAAAATAATTTATTTGATCCTGATTACAAAATACAGGTGAGGAGCACAGGCAATTCCTGTAACCCCTTGGTCGCACATCTTCCCAGTCTATGGTTCTATAAATACCCTTTGTACAACAGCAAGCTCATGTTGTCCCCAAGCGCTTGCACATTCTAACAGCTGCAGAGCTATATTACCAGGTGGAAAGTTAAACAGACGCCCCACTCACAAGGTAGGGCCCCTCCAATTAGTCTTCCGACTCCTTTTTGCTAATAGTAACTGGTTGCTCTTCCTATTGGTCATAGATAAATTACACCTGCACAATTCCCTGAGTGCTTTCAAGTAACCTCAGAAAGCAGTGACTAAGACCCTTTCCTTGCTCCCAGCTTCCTATGTCCCAGGCTGCCTGTGGCACCCGGACTGCTGCTGCCCCTGGGTCCCGCACATTCCAGGGCGACGATGGAGGAAGGGCAGGCCAGGCCAAGCATGAGGAATTAACAGTCTTTATTGGGCTCAGACCAGGAGCCCGTGGGTCTTGAGGACCTCTGTGTATTTGTCAGTTTTCTTCTCCACGTTCTTCTCGGCCCGTTTCCGTAGCCTCATGAGCTGTTTCTTCTTCCTGTAGTGGAACTTGGCCTTCTCCTTCCACTTCTCCTCCAGGGTGGTTATCACTGCCTGGTACTTCCAGCCACCATCGTGAGCCAGGCGCTCCAGATAGGCAAACTTTCTTGTAAGCTTCAGACGCACGACCTTGAGGGCAGCAGGAACCACCATCCGCTTTTTCTTGTCGTAGGGCAGTAGGATGCCGTCAAACACCTTGAGGTGGTCCAGGGCGGCCTGGCCTCACTTGGTCTCTTGGGGCAGCAAGCCTCGTACTTGTGCCACAAGATGCGGCTGGGGGCCGGGAAGTGGTAGGGACCTCGGGAAGGGTTGGTGTTCATCCGCTTGCGGGGGAAAGCCAGGTACTTCAACTTGTTTCTGTAGAAATTGCCAGAAATGTTGATGCCCTCCCAGCGTACGACAACCACCTTCCAGCCCAGCAGTACCTAGTTAGCCACGATGGCCGCCAGGGGGCCCAGGAGATGGCCTCCACCATCAAGCACCAGGACCTGCACCCCCGCCATCTTCGGCAGCCGCCTGGGAAAAGAAAATCCCTTGTTTAATTCGCATGTAGACTAAGCTAATGCAGCAGACTCCAAAAGACAGGGCCCACACGGTGGAAGCCTACTTCCCCCTCCCCAAATAAAGGCTCAGACAGGGACAGGAAGAGGTGGCCTGAGCCAGTGAGCCAAGAGGTCATCTCGGGACTGAAATTCCCTCTGTCTGGTTGCTGCGCCATCCTCTGGAGTCTTGCCAGCTCCATGGTCAGTACACAGGCACCAGGACCGTGTGCACGTCCCAGCTTACAGGAGGGAGGAAGAGAATGCTGCTTCTTAAGCCCATGACCCTGACGTTTCCCACCATTTCCACTTGCATCCTAGAGGCTGAAACTTAACCATGTAGTGAACCTCCCTTCAAGGCAGGCTGAGAAATTTAATCCCCAGCTGGTCAATCGTGGGCCTGGCTACAAAGAAGAGAGTGGTACCCAGCAACAAGAGGCAGTTCTGCGCAGTCCCCACCCCGCCCCCACCCCCCCCCCACCCCCCCACCCCCCCACCCCCCGGCTTCTCCGGCTTGCCCTTCCCCACCCCCGCTAGAGAAGGTTCACACCCGCGTGGCAGTGTTCAGCAGTCTGAACATAGTAGGCATTCAGTAAGTACTCATTGAAAGGAATTTTGATATATTTTGTACTTTACTAAAGAGGGAAGCAGCAGCAGCTTGCTTCGAAAATATGTGCACAAGGTCCTGGTACCTGAATACTGACCATTGACTCCAGAGGATGGTGCAGCAACCAGGAGGGACAACAGGCGCCACACTGTCTGTCTACTCCGTCTTTCCAGCAGCCCTTTTCTCTAAAACTGCCCTGTGACCACACAGACCCTCACCTGGGCCTGCACCTTGTTCCAAGCTGACCCTGCCTCTCTACTTGAAACTCTCATTCCCACTATTAGGGGCAAAAATCTTGATGGAACAAATTTACAAAAAGGTGCCTATGCTTAATGACTCATTATTATAGCTTCCATGGGGAGCATTTCCATTTCTTAAGCCAAATAAGTTAATCTCAAATGATGAACTATAACAGGCAGTGAAAGACAAATTTTTGTTTTTTAGCAAATCTAAAACCATCTCTATTTCAGACAAAGAAAGTTAATTAAAACATAATAGAAGATAGTGTGAAAAACTAACAAAGGACTTGCTCACTTTTTTCAAAGTTCGTTTAATTTAACAAAAACAAAATCATGTCATACATCGAGGATTTCCTCTGCCTCATCCTCTTCCCCATCCTCAGCCTCATCTTCTTCCCGTCCTCAGTCTCTTCTTTGGCCTCTAAAGGAAGCTCAGGTATTACCACCTTCCTTCCCACCCTGGAAATTTTATCTTGATCATCTCTCATTTCTCTGTGTCACCTCCAACTTTGTGTATCGTTTCTCCTATTGTTATGTGCTGGTTAATTTGCTTCGGGTTGACATCTTGAGCTGTTCTGGGATCCAGGTCTTTCTTGACTGGTCTTATATCATCTAAGTGGAGTGCTACCAACATGTGCTTATTAGCTGTCTTTCACTGATTACTTGACTGAGTTTCATCCTCACTGACATTTATACCAGGACCATGTAATTTTGTTGCTTAGTTTTCTTTGCTCTCACTGTTACTTTTCTTTTCAACCTTCTCTCTTTTTTTCTTTTCTGTTTTGTGGCTTCTTACTTCCTTGACTGATGGAAAACATGTTTTCAAAGCAAGCTGCTGCTGCTTCCCTCTTTAGTAAAGTACAAAATATATAAAAGTTCCTTTCAATGAGTACTTCCTGAATGCCTACTATATTCAGGCTGCTGGACGTCTAATTCTCAGAGCTTGTGTTTAAATACATAACTGTCCCCCTTGTGGCCTTCCTCAGTGGATGAGATAGTAACTGTGCCATGTTGGGGTCACTGGCACAGTCCTGTCTTTTGAGAACTGACTGTCCTCAAGGTGGATGATCCTGAAGTTTCTGTCTGGGGAAGAGGAGCACCAGTGTTCCATGTGGGCTGCCATCTTATCCCCTTCACCATCCATCCCCCTTCCTGGAATGCACTGTCACGACGCCACATCACAGCATCTCTGAGCCCTTACAGAGGTGCTGAGGGTGACTCACTCTACTTCTGAATAACTCCCTAAGAAGATGCATATTTATGCCATAAGTCACAGCATCTTATCCCCGAGGGGATACTCCTCTGGCAGCTGGGTCTCTTTCAGGCCCATGCTTAGCCACATGATTTTACTCTGAGCCCCATTTAAGGCATTTCCTGCCCACATTAGGTTTTCCAGTTATCTCAGGTGAGACACTACCCTGAAAATCCCCAGGGCTACTCCACTTGATGGAGCTGAGCCATCTCTGTGTCTTTGCCTTCTGGAACTCAGCAGCCATGTCCATGCCCCATTGCCCACTATGAAAATCCACCTGGGGAGATATTAAAATCACCCTACCCAGATCCAGTGATGCTTCTTTCATTGTCCCCAGGTGTCTGAATCTCCCTGGCTCCATGCCCCATCTCTGAAGACCAGCTGTGAATACGTGAGCCTCTACCACCAGCCTGCCGCCATGATGGAGGACAGTGATTCAGATGACTACATCAATGTTCCTGCCTGACAACTCCCCAGCTATCCCCCAACCCCAGGCTCGGACTGTGGTGCCAAGGAGTCTCATCTATCTGCTGATGTCCAATACCTGCTTCATGTGTTCTCAGAGCCCTCATCACTTCCCATGCCCCATCTCGACTCCCATCCCCATCTATCTGTGCCCTGAGCATGGCTCTGCCCCCAGGTCGTCTTGCACACCTTGGCAGCCCCCTGTAGTTGACAGGTAAGCTGTAGGCATGTAGAGCAATTGTCCCAATGCCACTTGCTTCCTTTCCAAGCCGTCGAACAGACTGTGGGATTTGCAGAGTGTTTCTTCCATGTCTTTGACCACAGGGTTGTTGCTGCCCAGGCTCTAGATCACATGGCATCAGGCTGGGGCAGAGGCATAGCTATTGTCTCGGGCATCCTTCCCAGGGTTGGGTCTTACACAAATAGAAGGCTCTTGCTCTGAGTTATGTGACATGCCTCAGCCCCATGGACTAAGCAGGGGTCTGGTATAAAAACACTCCTGGAAACGCCTTTGCCCTGATCCAAATGTTAGCACTTGCTAGTGAACGTCTACTTATCTCAAGTTCTATGCTAAAGGCAATTTATCTTGATGTGATGATAAACCAAACTTATTAGCAAGATATGCATATATATCCATAAATTCTCTTTACTCTGTCTCCATCACTTGATGCACATAAGTGCCCTGACCTCAGCATCTCCCCTCTAAAAAAAAAAAAAAAAAAGTATCTCTTTATCTTTCTTCCATAGCCTGACACTGATATTTGTGCACTTACCTTAACTTTGGTCTATTTTATTCATCCAAAACCATTACATTTCTTGGTTTTCACAAATGTTCCCCATTTCTTAGCCAGTTCCAGACAATGTATAGCAAGCAGGGGAAGGAAAGCAGTCAGGAGTTCCTGGGTGGCCACGGCTCTGCAATAGCACTTATGTCATGGAAGTGATATCCCACCTCCTACATATACTCTTTGCCTAGGTTTTTGGAACAAGGTTATAGTCAGACACTGTATCTTTAGATTGATGTCGACCACAAAGTTCAGCCAGAGCTTGAGGCTAGATGCACAGCCTTGCTATTGGGAAGAAGGCCTTTTCTAGCTGTACAACACAGTCTCACTGGGCATTCATCCAGAAATAGAGAAGAAAGTCTGCCAGACTTGAGTTATGTTGTCTTTTATTAGCAGGGAATGTCATCACAGATTGGATAGTACATCCAGGTGCAATGTCACCATCAGCAAGGTCAGCTTGACACTCAAGTGGAAGATTAGGGAAGAATGACTAGGATAAAAAAAAAAGGAGGGCACCAAGGGAAAGGGATGATGGGGTGAGCTGGCGAGTGTGGGTGGGAAATGAAATGTTTATTGAGGATCTGCTTTGTGCTGGGCACTTTAATCCACATTTTATCGTTTACTTTTCAAACAGATGCACCTTACCCCCACCCCAATGCTCTGTCCCTGCAGATATCAGAAGACAGTGTGATTTTCATGCTCTGAAGTTCAGTTTTACATCCAAGCATCCCTCTCTGTTTTTTAACAATCCAAAGACAGGCCAAAAAAAGCACCACAGTTTATTAAGTACTTACTAAGCACCCATCCACTGCCCCACACTGTGGCAAGGATTGTGAGGGGTAAAGAAGCATGGGGCACAATATTCTGCTGCCTTCATGTAACTTACAGTCTCACAAATAAATAGAACTTCAGTTGAAATACTGACATTAATTAAATAGAGTTGTAATAAATACAAGAATCTTCTCTGTAGACTCTTCACAGCATCCAGAGGCACCTTCCCTGACTGTCACTGGCGCTGCTTAAAGAATGACTTCTTTGACAATAATCCTGGGCCAAGAATGGGACCCATGGCCAAGGGCGTGAAGTGTCCAGTGAACAGCATAGGAAGGGAGACTGTTTGAAATGACACAGGGAACAAACCAGTGCCAGGGGGAGGGAGGTCCTGGTCTAGACATTCAGAGCTTGTAGAATTTCTGCATCCAGGTCAGAAGAATGTCCACTTCCCCAAGGGCTTTGGTCAGAGCTGCTTCTACGTCCAACTAAAGGGAAAAGAGGGTTGAAGGTCAGCCATGTTAGCTATGAGAATAGTCTTTCTTCCAACCTGCCATGCCTAAAATAGACCTGACTCCAATCCAAGGGATGGGTCACCTTTGGGATGAGCCCACTGATGAACCCACCTGCCTGTCACTTTTCCTCCATCTACATGTGTTTATCTGCTTCAGGGGTGAGGACAAACAGGCTAGTGAATATCAGTGGACAAAGAACAAGGGAAAGACATATGGCACCCCTAACAACAGCAACCACAAACTGCAGTATGGGATGGATATGGCCCACCACCTGAATCCACTGCACAGGTGAAATGAGCCCAGGTGGCCCCTCTCCATCAGATGTTATTGCTCTTCACCATTTATTTAAAAGCTGATGCATCTCTTCCTCAAAAAAAAAAAAGTGATCGAAATCATTTATGTTTTTAGGGGGGCTGGGGATGAAATTTGGGTTTTCTTTGTTGTCATAATTTTGGAAAAGCAAAAATAATTTCCCATAATTGTTTTTCACAACTAGACCAGTTGAGCATCATGGAAAATACTGCAGATGTGTATGGGGTGGGGGTGGGGGTGGGGTGTCTCCCTTCTTTCTCCCTCTCTTCTGACTTCAGTTGCCCAGCCCAAGTACCTACAAAACACAGGGAAAGTTCCTTTCGTAAAATCATCTTGTAGGGAAATATAGAAGCACTTTAACTTGAAAACTGGAAGAAAAAAGACCACTTAGTTTACGATGCTTCTGCAAATATAACTGTGCTCCTGCTAAGTCAGGGGGCTTTGGAGCAAAGCTGATGGTGTCCCCTGCATTACATTCTGCATTGGGTCTCTGAGGCGCCCTCGTGTGATGGTGCAGACTAGTCTATTCTGCTGGATGGGCAAGCTCTCAGCTCTTGGCCTTACCTGTTTGAATGCTCTCCGGAATAGCAGAAACCGCCTGTGTGCACTGTCTCTGATGGAAAACATCTCATTTTCTTGCTACATAACATGGGAAAAGAAGTTGTGCCAATTTTTAGATAGGAGCAGATGCAAACTCCCTCTCAGTTTTCCTGCTGATGCCACAGGGTCTCCCAAAGCCTGAGAGCCCAGGGCTGAATCCTGCATTCCCCAAGGTAACCAATACCAAACTCCCACCTTGTGAAAGGGGCTACCTCCTTTAATTCTCGCAGCAATCCTGCCAGGCAGGAGTGATCATCCCCATTTTACAGATAACAAACTGAAGCCCAGGGAGGTGGAGGACTTTGCAGAGGGTCACCCAGCAGATTGGAAGCAGACCTAGACTTGAACCCAGAGCTGCCAGTATCCAGAGCGTGTGCTACTCACACTGGGTTGCAGTTGTGACACGATGAGAACAAAGTTGTTGGCCAGAGTAGAGAATGACTTCAGAGTCCTGACTTCAACTGTTCTATTGTGGTAGTTTTTGAAAACAGTTTTCAAGTAGAACTCCAGCAGGGTGTGGACAAGGTAACAGCTCTCAGCATCCTGGGGAAGGTCTGGGTCACTGCTGAGCCAAGGCCTCTGCCCACCCTGACCCCCTGAAGGAACAACCCACATGCCACCCAAGGCAAGATAAGCACAGCAGAGATAGGGATCTTCTAGAAGGTGATGATGAACCTTAGATCTGTAGGAGCCTTCAGGGGCCATGGAGAGCAGGTCTTTGTTTGAGAGGAGGAACCAAGACCCAGGGAGAGAAATGACCTGGCCCGATTCACATAGTCAATCAGTGGCAGACACAGCCTAGCTCCCAGGATTCCTGACTGCCCATCTGCTTAATATTCTCTTTCTTCTATGCCACATGGCCTCTTTAACAGCTATGGGGATGTGATGGACCCTGAAAAGGGCTTGAACTTGGACTTGGTGATATAGAGTTTGCTGGAAAATGACTGAGAACAGAAGAAATGAGGAGAAACTAATATCTTTGGACACAGCAATTGCACTCTAGCCCCCTCAAGCTCCTGAAGTGCCACATCTTTCAGGGCTCAGGGCTCAGTAGGTTTGTGCCCACTAGATGGATGATGAGAAGATGGTGACCCATCCTTGATAACATACTCTACCTGATTGTGGTGAAAGAAAGGATGAATCCTTTTGTTAGGTATTATTTTAAGTCATGAGCTCACTTCACATGAGCTCACATGACAGAAAGAAAAGATGTCTCCAGGTTAGGGTTCAGCATAGAAACCAGCTCTGCAAATATGTGCTGCTTCCCTGGACCCCCTAAATCTATCCAGTCTATGAGACATCAAAGGCCAGATGGACCAAAGGAGGACCCAGGAAAAAGGACCCAGAGAAAAGGATGAAAATGGAAGAGAGGACATGAACCTAAGTAGATGCCTATTGGGCCTACACAAGTAAAAGAGAAATATATAATTCTCTGGCTAAATGGAGAAAGATGTTTACAAGCCTCCACCTTCCCCATCTCCCAGTACCACTGCACACACATACCACATAGCAATAACCCCAGACACTGACTTCCCTGGCTCACAGTCTGGCCCTGTCCTGTGTAAGGTCAGTCCAGGGAAGAAGTGAAGGGCTTTCATCAACCTCCCCTAAGAAAGCCTTGCACTCCCACCCACAGTAGACCCGTCCCACAGAGGGTGGTGTCCCCGAGGTCTGATTACCGAGACGTTCTGCAGAACCTCCTGCTGCAGCAGCCGGGCACTCGTGATGTTATCCTGAGCTTGCTTGGCAAACAGAAAGAAAAGACGTCTCCAGGTTAGGGGTCAGCATAGAAACCAACTCTGCAAATATGTGCTGCTTCCCTAGACCCCTAAATCTATCTAGTCTGTGAGATCTCAAAGGCCAGAGGGACCAAAAGAGGACCCAGGAAGGACTGGGCTGAGCTGGCCCATGGGGAGGGGAGACAAGGTTGCAGCCACGAAAATGACTAAGCTTGGCCCCCCAGGAGCAAATGGAGTCCCAGGAGTTCTTCTTATTCTTAGAGCATGAACATAGATTTGATAAGGAAGCAGTTTGATGCCTCTGGTCATTTGAGATGGGAGGAAATAAGCCTATCTGCTTTAAGAACCACTATGGGCAGGATTTTGGCTCCATATTCCATGTGGTGAGGAAGCAGGATGTGAGGGAGGACAGCCTGCACCCTAGAGCTGCCTCTTGCCCTTGGAGCTTCCTCCACAGCCCAGCCACTCATTCCAGTTCTCAGATTTAGAGCCGAAGACTCTATTCGGGACGAAGCCTGGATGAATCTAGCTCTCTTCATGGTTTCCCTTGGGCACTGCTTATTTCACTCGAGGCTGCCCACATTTTTTCTGAGCCCCAATTTCCTCATGTGTAAATGGGGCTTGTGGTGCCTTCTGACCTCACAGAGTTATTATATGGGAAACTGGAAACTGATTAGCAAGCTGTGAAGGACTCCAGAATCATAAAATAGCATCCCCTCGCCCCACTGGCCCACTGCCCCCAGGAACCCCCACGACTGGGTCCAGAACAGCACTTTACTCACCATAGTGTCTTTCACAGCCCAGAAGGCTTCCCACAGTTTCTGGGGAACAACCCCCTTCACTTGGCAGGGCCCAAAGTGGAATTCTTGGCCCTGGGCCCCTGATACCTGGCTCCAGAGAAGCAGGGTAAAACCCAGGCAAGGGAGCACAACCATCTGCATTTGAGAGGCTGTCGCCAGCAAAGGAGGGCAGAAGGGTCTGCTGAAAGAAAGGGAGGCAGCCTGTGAGGCCGGCCCTCTGACCCAGAGTTACATGCCCTGGGAAAATGCTCCGAGGGTCTCCCCGGGCCAATCTCGAGCACTCTCCAATGGGCAAGTTGAGACTATTGCAAACCGGCAGCCTTGCTAAGGTGCAGTGGGGGTGAAGCAGGGGTCTTTCTGCCCCTCAAACTTAAGGCCGCTCGTCTTGCCATCTGTCCACCTGCTCTTCCCCACCTTGCCCGTCCACACCCACACGCCCTGCACCTCCTCCTTCTCCATCGCAGTTCTCTCTAGCCTACAACCTGCGAGTCAGAATTTGACCCAGAAGAGTGGAGAAATGGGAGGTTCTAATGTGCCACGTCTGGGGAGCCCAAACCCAGGAAAACAAAGAGCTGAACTAGACATGTGCTTATCCAAGTTCTGCCCTGAAGCCACTAGGCACACATAGGCTGGCAGGTCTTTTTCTCCTCCCCAGGAGACGGCTGTCCCTCACTCCTCATCACAAGGGAGCAAGGGGTTAATCCTGGTCCCAGGGAGGGGCACAGAGGGCAGGTCAGGGTCACACACAGACTATGCCACCTCCACTAACCACTCACTCTTGAGTCTAAAAATTCACTTTTTTTAGTAACCAAATGAGAGAGAGGCATCAGATTTCCAGATGAATCATCTCTAAAGCCTTCCTCTGAAGTGCCAGTTGGGAAGGACTGAGTGAAGAGCCTCCAAGCTGGGGAACCTAACGCCATTATGTATTTATTATAACTGATGCAGAGAATTTCTTTCCCCCTGCCTTCTTTGCCCTTTGTCCTTTCCCTCCCTCTCTCCCTCCCTCCCTCCTTACCTTTCTTTCTTCCTTCTTTCCTCTCTCGCTCCCTCCCTTTCTTACTTTCTCCCTTTCTTTCGTACTTCTTTACACAATCATTTAAGAACCTTTCTTACTGCAGGCACTGGTCTGACACCTAAAGAAACTGCCTCCCACCCCTACACCGGGAGGAAGACCAGAGAAGACCCGGTTCTGCTGGTACCTGGGCTAGGGAGGCGGCGACCCCTGGGTTATGGGTCACGGGGGACGGGGGCTATGCTTTAGCATCTCCCTCAATGTCTTTTCATTCTGTTCTTTCAAACTCCACAGGCTTTTTTTTTTTTTTTTTTTTTTGACAGAATTTCAGTCTGTCACCCAGGCTGGAGTGCAGTGGCATGATCTCGGCTCACTGCAACCTCTGCCTACCAGGTTCAAGTGATGCTCATGCCTCAGTCGCCCAAGTAGCTGGGATTTTTGTATCTGAAAATATCAAAAACACATGCCCAACTAATTTTTTTTTGTATTTTTAGTAGAGACAGGGTTTCACCATGTTGGCCAGGCTGGTCTCGAACTCCTGACCTTAAATGATCTGCCCACCTCAGCCTCCCAAAGTTCTGGGATTACAGGTGTGAGCCACCGCACCTGGCTAAAGTCCACAGGCTTTGCAGCCTCTGTTGAAAATTCATCTCTCAGTCTCGTGTTCCTCCTGGCCTTCCTCCCAAGCAGCCTCAATTCTTCTTGGTGTTAAATTGGCGAAAGCAGCTCCTCATCACAGTCATGTCTTGTCCCTACATCAACACTCAAAAAAATTGACTTCTGCTGTCCCCACCTTGACCCCTTTTCACAAATAAAGCAGAGGTCTAGTCCTTCAAAAAAAAGTAACCAAGAATCCCCCATGCTCACCTCTGGTCCTGTAAGTGATGCTTGAGGGCTGGCTGCCTGGAGGCAGCTGGTTCTTTTTACAGAAAAGTTAGACAGGCACCTTCACCATTCACCAATCAGAGGCATAGCTGTGGGTGGAAGGTTCCCGTCCCAGCCGTGGAAGTCATTTCAGAAGTAAAGGTTTGCAGGCAAGCAAGGCTTTGTGGAGATTTGGGCATATATATGGGGGCTGATGGGGGAGGGGTGGAGGAAAAAGAGGGAGGTGGAGAAAGGGAAATTGGTCATGCTTTCCTAGAGAATTACTTCATTGCCTAGTCACCCATCACTTTAAGGACAATACAGCGATGGGGAAAGCAGCCCCTGAGGTGAGATGAGACCTGGGTTTGAGTTCAGGCTCTACCACTGGCTGTGTGGGCAGGGGCAAGTCTCTTAGCTTCTCTGCGCTGCAGTCTCTGCATGTATAAATTTTTAAAAAATTTGTCCCACCTCCCCCCAAGGGCAAGTGTAATAAACAGAGGCAAAAACAACACAGAGGTGCTTGGTAAACTCTGTACACATGTAAATACATTATTACTGTGCAGCATACACCAGTCTCCTTCCTGTCAAAATAATTCAATAATGATGCCCTATTCATGCTGGGACAGTAGTCCACAGCGAAGAAATAACCTGTAAGTACCTCTCCTTTAATCCATCAGGGCCAGGAAGTTGAGGAGTGTTTCCTGACATGCAGCTACCCATGGTCCCTAGGGTTATAATCACTCAACCAAAATGTGCCTCTCCTTAGGTTCTGGAAACCAGGAAGAATAAGGAAATGTACGCATGGACAAGCCCAGAAAGCTGGGAGGCCTGGTGCTCTGGTGGGCTAGTCTTGGCCTGTGTGGCTCTGAACCACTCAGGGGACACAGACAGCGTGATGTGTCAAGACTGCCAGGGCAGTCAAGAGCTCTGACCCTATCTCCAGCTAGCAAGGCACTCAGCTCTAGATTCTACCATGTGCCCAGTGAGGGCATCAAGCAGAGCAGTGTTTCCCAAAGCACAGTCCTCAGACTCTAGGTTTGAGGAATTCTTGTCTTGCAAGATCCTCCATGAAACAGATGAATCCTAATGAGGTCAGTTAGAGAGCCCTGGCATGTGCTAGCCCGTCCTGGAAATGTCTGATGCTTCTTAACTCTGTTTAATCCAGCATTTCCCATAAGTATTTGCCCACATCCCTGAGGAATACATTTTGGGAATCAGGGATTGGCCAACTGTAGGTCACAAGCCAAATCCAGCCTGCCACTGCTAAGCTGAGAATGGCTTAACCTTGCGACCTAAGAGTAGTTTTTACGTTTTTTAATGATTGGGGAAAAAATCAAAAGAAAGACATTATTTTCAGGTTTCCGTATCCATAATAAATAAAGTTTTCATGGGGTCACATATGTTTGTTGACATATTGTTGCTAATTGCTTTCGTGCTACAGAGGCAGAGATGAGTAGTTGTGACTGAGACCATATGGCACACAGAGCCTAAAATAGTTCCTGTCTGGTTCTTTACAGGAAGAGTTTGCCCAACCTGGGTCCAGGCATGGGAAACGGGAGTAGGAATGTGACGTGGGGGACAGGATAACTGCCTCCAGCTCAGTGGAGATGAAAGAAAAGAGGAGAGTGAGTAGAACACACCCTTGGCAGACTCTTCCCAATCTCTCTGGCACCAACACCCCCTCCCTCCATCTCATACTCAGTGTTGTTTATTTTCTTAAGCAAACAAAATACTCCTTTGCAATCCCTGGCCAGCAGTCTGCTTGGCTATAGCTGCCACCAGCCTGAATCCTTTGTTCCTGGAGGGCCCGAGTCTTACCCTCCAGAAGTAGGCACAGCCCCACAGCGCACTCTCTTCCCCCACTCCCCCCTTCCCACCATGTGGATTTAGGGCATTACCAAGAACCCCTAACTAACTACTATGAGATAAAGATGTCAAGAGGCAGTGATGAGACAGAAAAGAAGACCAGGTGAGAGTGCTGGAGTAATAGGTGAGTGGGAGGCAGGAGACAGCTAAAGCAGGAAGCTGAGAGGGAAAATGAGCCCCCAGGGCAGCTGAAATCCTAGACTACTGTCTGCAGATAGGCGGGGAGGGCAGGCAGGTGGGATGAGCTGTTAAAGGGCAGGCTGGAACAGAGGCATGAGGTCATGGATACACCTTGGCTGGCCTCAGGGTACACCTGGGATCGTGAGTAGCTCACTCTGTCTGAGGAAGGAATCATATAACATGGATAGTTCAGGCAAACATGTGCCTGGGCCTCAGCCTCCGATGAGCTTATCATAGCATTATTACTTCAGAAGGAAGGTCAAGGAGAGAACCTAGGAACCTTGGCCCAACATCAGTTGAGAATCTAGTTATGAGTACAAGCTTTGGAGGCAGGCAGACCTGGGTTCAAAAGGTGATCGAGCCACATATGAGCCCTCTGAGGCTCACCTTCCTCACTTGTGAAATAGAGTCCTCATAAGACCATGAGGATGTGATGACCTGCAGCTTTGCTCACCAAGTGTGGCCCATGAGCCAGCAGTGATAGCATTATCTGGGACCTTGTTAGAAATGTACAATCTTGGGCTGGGTACAGTGGCTCACGTCTGTAATCCCAGCACTTTGGGAGGCCAAGGTGGGAGGATTGCTTGAGCCCAGGAGTTTGAGGTCCTCCTAGGCAACATGGCAAGACCCTGTCTGCAAAAATAAATAAAAATTAGTTCGTTGTGATGGCACATGCCTGTGGTCCCAGCTACTCGGGAAGCTGAGGCAGGAGGATCATTTGAGCCTGGGAGGTCAAGGCTGCAGTGAGCCATGATCTTGCCACTGCATTACACCCTGGGTGACAGAGCAAGACCCTGTCTCGAAAAAAATAAATAAAAGTAAAGTAGAATCTCAAGCCCTTCCCCGAAAAAATGACTGAATTAGAATATGTAGTTTAAGAACCTTCCAAGGTGATGCTTATGTTCATTAAATTTTGAGAACCATCAGCATAAAACGCATGAAAGATTTAATTCAGTGTCTTCTCCATGGTAAATGTTTAATAAACAAGAGCTCCAGATGAAGGGAGGAAGGACTGGTTTAGGGGATCTAAATAAGGTGACTTCATACTTCATACTTCATACTTCATACTTCATGCCCATCTGTACTGGGCAATGTCTGGAGATATTTTTGGTTGTCATAACTGGGAGGTGCTATTGGTATCTAGTGGAATGGGCTGGGAATGCTGCTAAACATCCTATGGGCCACAGGACAGCCCCTCATCACAAAGAACTATATGACCTAAGGTCAATAGTGCTGAGGGTAAGAAACCCTGGATTAGAAGGAAGCAGTGGCTATGGGGGAAATAGCTGGAATAGGAGCAGAGGAAGAGAAGAACATGACCTTATTGGGAAAGGAGGCAGTAGGCTGATCAGATGATCAGGGGAATGGGAAAAACAAGGTGACAAGTTGGAAGGCAGTGCCCAAAGGCCAGGTGGAAACAGTGGGGAGACCTGGCTCACTGGCCCACCTCTGGGAAAGCCCCAAGTCTCAGACTTTAAGAGGTTGAAGGAAGTGGGGCTGGCCCTTTTGTCCAGATTCATATATTTTTATCCAAACTCTCCTGGATCAGACCAAGGTCTGAGGCTCTGCTAACCTCTACGAAAGGATGGAACTTGGGGAGTTTTACAAATGTTGGGTGGAAGAAAAGTTTATCTAAAGATAAATCTTCACATACAAGACTGTTTTTTTTTCCTCCAAACTACTCCTTATTAGATTCAGAGGTTTTATTCTAATAATCTTATCCTATCTCTGTCCTGTATATCTCTCTGCAGAGCCTGAATTTCACATTTGAGAAATAAATATACTCACATTCCCCCTACAAAGTCCTCTAAACCTAAAGGGAGAGAAAGAGACTGAGCCACCATGGACCAGAGTTCCTTCTCCACTTCCACTTCTGTGTGAGGCAATAAAGAGCTCACTCTTAAACCTGAATCTCCCCTCTTTGCGATGGATGCAAAGGCCCTGCAAAACAGAAAGTAATTAGCATATTAACTAGAATTTCCTAAGAGCAAAAAGATAAGAGGAAATTATATGATCATTTTTCTTCCAGTGAATTGAGTTTAATTTTCACTCGAGAACAGATTTTTATCTTCCCATTTGGCTGGGAAATGCATGTGGTAATGGATATGGGATAACCAGGGCATTTGTTAGCTCTTTTCCCTGAGTTAACTGCAGTCATTCCAGGAGCCCATATCCCACTGGTTGATCTCCTTAGACTGGCATTCTGTCGTTCTTCCTTCTCCCTGTGTCATTCGTGTAATAAGTGATTTATTTTTATAGGCATTTCAAGGGATGAGAGTAAACACAAACATAAATTATTCTTACATCTGTACAGCCTGCTTAGAGCTATACAAAATATTTCCAAGTGATTTTTTTCATCTGACACTTACTGTGGACTTTTGAAATAAGGAGGGCAGATATTATTATCCCTCCTTTACAGACTAGAAAGCTGAGAGTCAGAAAGGTCAAGTGATTTTCTCTAAGTCACATAAATAAATGACATAACCAGGCCTAGAGTGCAGGTCTTCTGGCTTTTGGTCCAGTGTTCTTTCCCCGGTGCCATGCTTCCAAGCAGTTTCTCAATCTTTAGTACATTCATTCATTCATCGAACAAACATTTCCTAAGCACCTACTGAATGGCAGAATAGAGTGTACAAAAAATAAATTACTATGAAAACATTTATGTCAAATGTCCAGAAAAGGCAAATTTATAGACACAGAATATAGATGAATGGTTGCCCAGGGCTGAGAGTTAAGAATAGGGTGGGTGGGAGGAAAGGAGTGACTACTAAGGAATACAATGTTTCTTTGGAGAGTAACAGAATGTTTTGAAATTAGATACGGTGATGGTTGCACAACTCTGTGTCTATATTTAAAAAAAAAATTGAACTGTGCACTTTAAACAGATAACCTATGGTATGTAAATTATATATTTAAAAAGCTATTTTAAAATAAATTAAGACACAGTCCTTGTGCTTTAATGACTCAGTAGAGTGGAGATACACTTGCAAACAGATAAATGGCAACACTGTGTCATGGGTACCACTATGGTTTGAACATTCCCTCCAAAACTCATGTTGAAACTTAATCCTCAGTGTGGCAGTATTGAGAGGTGGGACCTTTAAAAGGCGAATGGGTCTTGAGGGTTCTGCCCTTACAGATTGACTCATCTATTCATGGATTCACGGGTTATCATGGGAATGGAACTGGTGGCTTTAAAACAAGAAGAAGACAAAGCTGAGCTATCATACTCAGCCCCCTTTCCATATGATGCTCTGTGCCACCTCGGGACTCTGCAGAGTCTCCACCAACAAGAGAGCCCTCACCAGATGTGGCTTCTTGACCTTGGACTTCCCAGCCTCCATAACTATAAGAAATAAATTCCTTTTCTTTATAAATTACCGAATTTCAGGTATTCTGTTATAAGAAACCAAAAGCAAACTAAGACAGGTGCTATTAGCAGAAGGATGGAGCCTGTGGCAACAGCAAGATGAGGCAGAATCTCCCTCAGTGCTGGCACAGTGCTGGAAGATGCGGGAAGGCTTTCCATTGGAAGTGACATTCGATCTGAAATTTGAAGCCTGACTAGGAATTCACCAGCAAAAATAAAGCCGGGAGAGGTGATTGATGGAGACCCTGGTAGCCTCCACATTCGGCATCCACATAGTTACTGGACAGGACCAAAGAGCAGGTGGTTCTGGAAGCCGCTAGAAGAAAGAGGACCACTGATTGTTCTTTCGTGTAATAATTCATGCAAATCAATGGGAACAAGCTATGTAAATACAACTTCAGGGCTCCCAAGGGGACCTAGGGTGCTACTGATCCCACAGGGCTGCAGACAGGAATGGGGGGGAGAGAAGAAGGGCCAGGGTCTCACTTTCTAAGCCAAGCCTCCTGTACAATTGCAGGAAAAAGAACCACAAGAGAAAGCCAGTTCTGAACTGCAACTGCCTCCCAAGAGTCAGGATCCTGGACCTCCCACGACCTGTAGAACATCAACTTTGAGTCACAAGGACATGAGTATTCAAATAAATACATGGCATGGTACATGTTGGGGAAATAGTAGCTACAGAGTCTTCTGAGTAGATCCAGGTAAAGGACTGTGGTTTATTTCCCCTGTGTCACCCTGCCCCCTGTCTCATATATCCAGGGTTGCTTTTTTTTCTGAAGGAGATTTTTTTAAAAAGGAAGAAAGAATGGAAGAAAGGAAAAAGGCTTCCGTGTGAATGAAATAACATCCCATTCTCAGGCATTAATCAGAATCAATACAGTAGACTCCCCTTATCCATGGCAGACACGTTCCAAGACCATTGATCAGTGGATCATGCCCAGTAGATGCCTAAAACTGCAAATAGTACCAAACCCCATGTATCCGATGTCTTTTCTTTTCCTATACATACATATCTGTGATGAAGTTTAAACACAAAGAGATTAACAAGAATAACAAATAGTGAAATAGAACAATTATAACAATATGCCAGCGTCACTACTCTTGTGCTGTGGGGCTGTTACTAAGTGAAATAAGGGTGACTTGAACATGAGCACTGTTGTATTGTGACAGTCGGATGCGCTGGACAAAGGGAGGACTGACGTTCCAGGCAGGACGGAGCGGGATGGCACGAGACTTTATCACGCTGCTCAGAGTAGCACGCGATTTAAACTTATGAATTGTTTATTTCCGGAATTTTCCATGTAATAAATATTTTCAAACCACTGTTGACGTCAGTAACTGAAATCACAGGAAGTGAAACCACAGATAAAGGGAGACTACTGTACTCCTAAAATAGCACCCTCCCTTTCCTCCTATCCAGGTCCACTCTCCACACCTACAAAGAGATTTTCGGATTTCTGGACAGTGTTAATCTCCCCTCTCCTGTGCTCCTAGGAGTGCTGCTAGTCCCCCTTTGATGGCACCCAGGCGATCCTTCCCTGCACCCTGGTTGTGTCTCCTTCACCAGGCTGTGAACTCCCTGGGCACTAGAACTGAGTATTATCCATGTCAGAATTCCCCTCAGAAGCTGGCACAGGACAGGAGCTTAGTAAGCATTTGTTGAAATAGTGAATTTTATTTGACTGGTGTGACATAACCCTCTCCCTTTCTTGGCAGCTTTTAAAACCCTTGGAATCTCACCAATGATAGTGTCTTTTTTATGCTAACGCGTGACTGACAGCTGGGGGTTCCTGGATAGCCTAGGGATGGGAGCTGTTTGCCAGGGAATCAACCATGAGATAAGAGGGTTGGAGCTTTCAGCCCTACTCACTCCACCCCACCCCACCCCATCCCACCTCCAGGAAGAGGAGGGAGAGTGAAGGCTGAGTCAATGATCAATGCCTCATGATTTAATCAGTCATGCCTCTGTAATGAAACCTCCACAAAAACCCTAAAGGAAGAGGTTTGGAGAGCTTCTGGGTTGGTGAACACATGCAGGTACTGGGAGGGGGGTGCCCCAGAGAGTGCAAGGAGGCTCTGTGCCCCTTTCCACATACCTTGCCCAATGCATCTCTTCCATCTAGCTGTTCGTGAGTTGTATCCTTTCATAATAAATGGTAATCTGATAAGTAAATTATTTTCCTGGTTTCTGTGAGCCATTTTAGCGTATGATCAAACCAGAAGACGGTGTCATGGGAACCTCCGATTTATGGCTGTTCGGTCAGAAGCACAGGTGATAACTGGGACTTGTCATTGCTGTCTGAAATGGGAGCAGTCTTGTGAGATTGAACCCTTAACCCGTGGGATCTGATGCTATCCCCTGGTAAATAGTGTCGGACTTTAATTGAGTTGTAGCCATCCATTTGGTGTCCACCGAGAATGAAGAATTGGTTAGTGTGAGAAAAAATCTCACACATTTGGTGGTGGAAAGTACTGGTGTGAGTCTAGTCGTATAATTACTACTATGTAATTAGACTGGTTCACAAATCTAATTATGTACAAGGTCAAATTGTCTCCCAGGCTATTTGCCCAAAGATCTTTGCCAAATATTTCTCATTTTTGCTCAGGCAATGGCCACAGGCTGAGATGTGGCCTGCATCCAATGGCATTATTAAATACTGATCTGCTTTGCACGTGTTCCCAGCGTAAGAGTAAAAACCCAAAAAGTGATGCTATGACCACCTGTCTGGACATAGAAAGCCAGGGAAACAGAATCTGCGATTAGGCCAGCACAGGAGAGAGTTCTGGATCTGTGGATGAGGATATCATAGTCTTATCCTTAGAGCAGCCATATCCTGCTACCTTGAACAAGCCACTTACTTTCTCTGTGCCACGTGCCTCATTCTGTCCAAGAAGGAAAATGATCCCTATCCCGTCTATCTTATAGACTCTCTTCCAGTTTCATTCCCCTTTAAAATCCCTGTCCCTCATCTAGGAGATTCTTCTAAATGCACAAGTCTGATCATATTATTCCTCAGCCACCAAATCATTTTTGGTTTCTGATAAGGAAAGTTCCTCCCTCCTCTCCCCACAACCCATTGCTCTTTTGTTCTACTTTTGCAAACCAGTATGCTGGGTGGGTGGGAGGGGTTTATAGAATGTATATGTTCATGAAATTAATGTTCATTAAATGTTCATGAATCAATTTTTAATTTCAAAACCAGGTAAATGAAATGTATTTAAGGAGGAGGATAATTCAATTGCTTTTTCCTTTTGTGTGATCTTTAATTGGTTATTTCTATGGGTAAAAGTCCATGTAATAGAATGCTATTCCACCACTCAAAATAATTTATATTTACATTCTTAAAAAAACTTTTATAAAATTTTAGATTTAAAAAAATCAGGTTACAGATGACATATGCAGTAGGATCCCACTTTTGTAAAAGATAAAATGGGCAAAAGTGTTGAAAATGAGCTAGAAATATAAATGCTGAGATGTTAACAAGATTATCTTTGAGTGGTGAGATCATGGGAGTTTTCCTTCTCTATAGCTTAACTGTAGTCTCCAAGTTATACAAAATGCAAGGCTTTTAGAAAAGTTGTTGTAAATTTAAATAAATCTTTAGTTTCACTATTGCCCACTGAAAATTGTTGAAATTCCCCTACCTGGCACTGCACATTCTCTGAGACCCAATCCATTCACCTTCCCAGCTTTCTCTCTTCTACACTTCCACACACCATGGTACCAGCAAAACTGAGCGTTTCATCTTCACCTCGTGCCTCTATGCCTCTGTTAGGCTGGATCTGAAATGTTCTTGCCACCAGCCAAACACTAGCCACCCTTTATTGCTTCAACATAGAAACATGGCATATGTTGCTGACTGTCAAAAGCAGATTACATGTATATGTATGTATACATATACATATATGCATATACAAGCATGTGTGTGTACATATGTGTAATACACACACACACCTTTTTAAGAATGCTTATTTTGAAGGAATAAGATTACAGGCTTGGCAGGCTTTTATTTTCATCTTTAAGCTATTTTGTATTTGCAAAACAAAGAATAAAAGAATTCTACAAACACCAATTTAGAAAGAGAGGTTGAGACTTACATTAAAAATTTTTTAGCAGTACTTCAAGGCCAATTCCTTGAAGCCATTCCCAAAAGCTGCAAGGAATTTCTGTCACCTCTAAACAATGTAGCAATTTGAACTTCTTTGGTGGCACTTAGTCTTCTCTCTCTTTCTCTCCTGGGCTAAGATCATGGGACCGCAAAGGAACAGATCTTATGTTCTTCTCTTTTGCTCACACTGCTCAGCACAGTGTAGCAGCTTGTTAAATAAACAAACAAATCGTGAGTAAGATACTTGCTGTCAGAAGTGTTCAGGATGACTTGAAATCTGCATTTGGCAGGTTAATATCACCGCAAGAATAAAGACTTTTAAACCTGAAGGTATTCAAGGCTGGATATCCACTTAAAGGTATGATAGACATTACAGTTGTTCGCTCACATTTATAGTCTTCCACTTCTTGGAACACAGGAAAATTGCACTTCACTGTTCCATTGAAGTTAGACGTGGCCATGTGGCTGTTTAGACCAGTGAAATATAAGTGAAAGAAACACATGTCATGCTTGAAGGAAGCATTTAAGAGCCAGCACACAATCGTCCACACTCTCTCATCCCCTGCCATGTTGAGATGGCAGCATTATTACAGGATGATAGCATTTCCTGCAGCCTGTCCCTGAGTACCCATGATGAGGAGAGTCCCCATGCTAACATCTATTCCATATATAAAATAAGTGAGAAATAACTTTTGTTGTAATATGCTGCTGAGAGACATTAAGGAGTTGTTTGCTTCTACAGCATAACTTAGGCTAACCTGACTAATGCAGAAGGGATGTTAGAAGGGAGAAGGATTCTAAACACTTTAAAAGTGTTTAGAATGAATTTAGACTTTGCTAGGAACAAATGAATTTAGACTGCTATAGATAAAGCTCCAGAAAGCTCAATGAATTTAGACTCTGCTATAGGTAAACTTTGATTCTATATGCTAGTTAGTCAACTCATTATAAGTCACAGAGATTCTCAAATTCCTTCTTTAATGGAAAGCATTGCTTTCTCCTTGAACATGGAGTTAATGATGCATTCAACTGGGTGAGGTCAGGTTATAGCATGATGCTGACCACTTTGGGATTTAGCAATGGGCTGCTCAGTTCACTTAGGGGTCACATAATGAGAAGAAAGCTCTGTAAGGGATGATGGATGGAAGACTGAAAGCTGACCTGCAGAAAAGGGCTTTTCGCTCCTGGTAGGGGTGATGTAGAGCAGCAGTCTGCAACCTTTTTGGCTCCAAGGACCAGTTTCATGGAAGACAATTTTTCCACAAACAGGAGTTGGGGGATTAGGTTTCAGGATGATTCAAGCACATTACATTTATTGTGCACTTTATTTTTATTATTATTACTACATTGTCATATACAGTGAAATAATTATACAACTCACCATAATATAGAATCACTAGAAGTCCTGAGCTTGTTTTTCTGCAACTAGACAGCCTCATCTGGGGGTGATGGGAGGCAGTGACAGATCACCAGGCATTAGATTCTCATAAGGAGCATGCAACCTAGATCCCTCGCATGCACAGTTCACAATAGGATTTGTGCTCCTATGAGAAGCTAATGCTGCCACTGATATGATAGAAGGCAGAGCACAGGTGGGAATGCAAGGGATGGGGAGTGGCTGTAAATACAGATGAAGCTCCGCTCACTCACCCACCACTCACCTTTTGTGCAGCCTGGTTTCTTTCTTTCTTTGTTTCTTCCTTCCTTCCTTCCTTTCTTTCTCTCTCTCTTTTTTTTTTTTTTTAATTGTAGGAATCTCACTCCGTTGCCCAGGCTGGAGTGCAGTGGCGCAATCTCAGCTCACTGCAAGCTCTGCCTCCCAGGTTCAGGCCATTCTCCTGCTTCAGCCTCCCGAGTAGCTGGGACTACAGTCACCCGCCACCATGCCCGGCTAACTTTTTTGTGTTTTTAGTAGAGACGGGGTTTCACCATGGTAGCCAGGATGGTCTCGATCTCCTGACCTCGTGATCCACCCGCCTCAGCCTCCCAAAGTGCTGGGATTGCAGGCATGAGCCACTGCACCCGGCCACAGCCTGGTTTCTAACAGGCCACAGATGGATACTGGTCTGTGGGCCAGGAGTTGGGGACTCCTAATGTAGAGAATCTTCTACTTGCAGAAGCCTAAGATGCCAGTAAAAAGTTTAGGATGAGCCAACAGCCACACAGACACACACACACACTCATACACACAAAGACTTACAGCACACACACTTACTACATGGATTTTAAAACTGGCAAAGAAAGGCAGGCTAAGGCCTGGCAGGTCCGAGCTTGCCCCAGAATAAGAGCAACTAGAGTTTGTGTCCCTGAAAAAGCTCATATATGGTACTTGAAATGAAAATGACGTGAATTCTTACACTGAAATCTTATCTTTTGGCTTCTTATCTCCAGCCTTTGCCCACCGCTAAATAATCAGATCCAGGGAAGCATCAAAAGTCAAAGAAAGGATGAAGAGAAGTTGCTTCCAGCAACAGTGGGTGGGGCTTTCCATTTAAATTCTGCCTTCAACTTCCAAAAAATATCCTCTTGGGAAACTTATTACTCATGAAAATGAAGAGAAGGTGTTTTCCTCCATGGAGCAATCTCTGCCTTGAAAAGTCTCCATCCCTCTTCCTAGCCCAGAGAGATGATCCCACAAGGAAGTGGATTTTGTTGCTTAATCCTAGTTAACTGAATTCTGTTTTCCCACAATAAAATAATAAAAGTAATTTGGAATAGCATAACCTGAATGTTCATATTTCCACAGCCTGTGATTAAAAATTAGAAATAAAAAATCTTGAAATTCTGTCGTTCCATCTGCTCATATAAACATAGCAGGCTCTTGGGGAGTCTGTCCCTAGAGTGTTTTGAGAATTCTCAAAGGGATGTTTCTTCCAAGCCCATGAGGCAGTCTGTGCTTTCAGGGCTGGCTGAGCTAGCTATTGCAAGCTCCATGTGTGACCCCACTGGTGGTGAGAAGAGGGTTCTCCTCAGCAGCTTCTCAGTGCTAAATTGCTCCTGCCAAAAAATTTTGCAAGGTCACATTCACCCCAATAGGGAGATTGAGTCCAAAGTGTTGCAGAGTTCAGTGAAGCAGCTTTCTCAATGTACACTCTGAGACCTGCTTGGCCCCAGGATGCCCACATACCTCCACAGTGGTTGGTTTGGAGGAGTTTCTCGTAACATGGGACTGGAATTCATCAATATCAGTGACATTGGTTCCTGTTACTGAGCACAGCTCACATGTCACACTCCTTTCTTTCTCAAGGTGAATCCTCTTTAAGGGGTAGGGGTTGCCATTAACCCCCTGTAATCTGGATTCTGTATGCTCTGATCTATCAGCCATGTCTATGAGTGTTGAATCCCAAGTGTGAACAGAGTTCAAGCCTTTTCCCCAGAAAGTTCTTCAGCCCCACTGTAATTCAATGGAGGCAAATGAATACTTCTAGGGGAAGGGGAGCTAGCTCTACTGGCTGGGTTTCTTGGAGGGAGGGAGCAGGGGAGTTTCAACTCCAGTCCAGTGAGCCAGTTGGTCGTGTAATGCTTTACAAAGTACTTCTACAATTTGATACCCACAAAAACCCTATAAGACAGAGCAGATATCATTATTTCTGTATTATGATTATAAAACCAAGGCAAAGGGAAATTTGGTGGTTTGCCTAAGCTCATAGAACCAGAAAATGGAACTACCTAGAATTCATCCCAGGTCTCTGACTCCAAGTTTAAATACTTGGGAGGCAGTACAGTGTTCTGGAAAACATGCAGACTATGGAGTCACACGGTGTGTTTGTATTCCTGGCTCTGCAACTTACTAGCTATGTGACTTTGAATGATTATTAAAATAATTGAATAAGTTACTTGATTCTTCTTTGATTCGGTTTCCTCATCTGTGAAGTGGAAATAACAATATCACCTGCTTCATAAGTATTTATGAGAGTGAAATGAGAAAATACAGGCAAAGCACAGAGAAGAGAGCTGGACACATTAGTAAGCACTAGAAAGAGTAAGCTATTAGTTGCTGGGAGCGGTGGCTAACACCTGCACTTTGGGCAGACCAAGGTGGGAAGATCCCTTCAGCTTAAGAGTTTGACACCAGCCTGGGCAACATAGAGAGACCACATCTCTATTTTTTTAATACTTAAGAAAAAAATAAAAATTAGCTATTATTAACAATTGCTAATTTTATTTTTATATATTCCTGTGCCACATTCAATGCCTTTCCCTAACAAAAAGAGCTTAGATCAGAGAGGCTAGACAACTGCAAGCAACTTTTCACCCTTTAACTATATGATTTTTAAAAGACAACTACCTGATAAAGTGTTCATAATAGTAACCCAGATAGAAACAACAAAATATACTGTGATTAATCCCAGTTCTTACCAGTCTGTTTCAGGAGACTGTAAAGTTGCTTTAAAATGATAACAGGAATCTAATACCAAAACAAGTCATAAGAGAATATGACATGAAAACTTCAGGACCAAATTCAATGAGCAAGCTCTTTTTTGATTAACAATAGTAATGAAAGTAGATGTGAATGCAATCATCTTCTAACAAGCCAAATCATTTTGTTCTAAAATCATTGTGAATTAAATAACTATTTCTACTTTCCCCTAATGTTTGATGACCTGAAAATGTTTTTATTTCATCTTTGTTTTTTAATAATAGCTTTATTGAGCCATAATTCACATACCCATAAAATGCATCCTTTCAAAGTATACAATTCAGCAGTTTTTAGTAGTTTCACAGAGTTGTGCAACCAGCATCACTAATTTCAGAACATTTTCATCATCCAGAAAGAAGCCTTATACACATTAGCAGTCATTCCTGACTCTTCCCATTCCTTCGCTGGAAGTCTGGTTCACTTTTTGTCCCTATAGATTTGCCTGTTCTGAATGTTTCATATAAATGGAATCATATTATAAGCATTTCATATAAATGGAATCATACACTATGTAGCTTTTGTGACTGGCTTCTTTCACTTAGCTTAATATTTTCAAAGTGCATCCACGTTGTAGCATGTATCAGTTCTTCTTTCCTTTTTATTACTGAATAATTCTATTGTATGTACCACATTTCATTATACATTCATCAATTAAAGGATTTTGCATTGTTTCCACTTTTTGACCATCATGAATAATACTGCTATGAACTTTTGTGTCCATGTTTTTGTGTGGGCATCTCTTCAACTCTCTTTCAATACCTGGGTACCTGGGTGTGCAATTGCTAAGTCATATGGTAACTCCATGTTTCACATTTTGAGAAACTGCCAGACTGTTTTCTAAAGTTTCTGCACCATTTTACAATCCCACTAGCAATGGGATTATAAAGCAACGTATGGGGGTTCCAACTTCCCCACATCCTCATTAACACTTATTGTTGGCTATGTTTTTATATTTGAGCCGTCCTAGTGGATGTGTAGTGTTACTGCATTGTAGGTTTGATTTGACTCTCCTTAATGACTAATGATGTTGAGCATCTTTTCATGTGCTTATTGGCCATTCATACATCTTTTTGTTTGTTTGGTGAGACGTCTATTCAATCTGGATTGTCTTTTTATCATTGAGTTTTAAATGTTCTTTACATTTTCTGTAGGCTAAGTTCCTGTATTAGGCTATTCTTGTGCTGCTATTAAGAAATACCAGAGGCCGGGCGCGGTGGCTCAAGCCTGTAATCCCAGCACTTTGGGAGGCTGAGGTGGGCAGATCACGAGGTCAGGAGATCGAGACCATCCTGGCTAACCCATGAAACCCCGTCTCTACTAAAAATACAAAAAAATTAGCCGGGCATGGTGGCGGACACCTGTAGTCCCAGCTACTCAGGAGGCTGAGGCAGGAGAATGGCGTGAACCCAGGAGGTGGAGCTTGCAGTGAGCCGAGATCCCATCACTGCACTCCAGCCTGGGCGACAGAGCGAGACTCCATCTCAAAGAAAAAAAGAAATACCAGAGCCTGGATAATTTATCAAGAAAACAGGTTTAATTGGCTCACGGTTCTGCAGGCTGTACAAGTATGGTGCTGACATCTGCTTGGCTTCTCGGGAGGCCTCAGGAAGCTTTTACTCACAGCAGGTGAAACAGGAGCAGGCACTTCACTTGGCAAAAGCAGGAGCAAGAGATAGAGAGCTGATGGGGAGGTGTCACACACTTATAAACAACCAGATCTCGCAAGAACTCACTCACTGTCATGAACACAGCACCAAGCCATAAGAGATTGCTCCCATAATCCAAACACCTCCCACCAGGCCCCACTTCCAGCATTGGGTATTACAATTCAACACGAGATTTGGGAGGGGACAAATATCCAAACTATGTCAGTTCCTCATCTAATATAATTTGCAAATATGTTCTTTCATTCTGTCAATTGTCTTTTACTTTCTTGATAGTGTCCTTTTTTTATGTGTGTGAGATGGAGTCACTCTGTCACCCAGGCTGGAGCACAGTGACATGATTTTGGCTCACTGCAATCTCCACCTCCCGAGTTCAAGCAATTCTCCTGCCTCAGCCTCTCAAGTAGCTGGGATTACAGGCATAGGCCACCATGCCTGGCTAATTTTTGTATTAAAAATTCAACTAAAAAGTGGAGATGGGGTTTCACCACGTTAGCCAAGCTGGTCTTGAACTCCTGACCTCAGGTGATCTGTCTGCCTCAGCCTTCTAAAGAGTTGGGATCACAGGCGTGAGCCACCATGCCCGGCCAATGGTGTCCTTTAAAGCATACAGTTTAAAATTTTCATGAACTCCAATTTATCTTTTTTTTCTCATGTTGCTTCTGCTCTTAGTGTCATATCTAAGAAAGCTTTGCTTAATCCAAGGTCATAAATAATTACTGCTTTCTTATATAAATTTTATACTTCGGCTTTTTTTTTTTTTTTTTTTTTTTTTGAGATAGGGTCTCACTCTGTCACCCAGCCTGGAGTGCAGTGGCACGATCACAGCTCACTGCAGCCTCACTCTCCCAGGCTCAGTTGATCCTTCCACTTCAGCCTCCTGGGTAGTGAGACTACTGGCACACGCTGCCACACCCAGCTAATATTTTATATTTTTTGTAGAGATGGAGTTTCACCATATTGCCAAGGCTGGTCTCAAACTCCTGGGCTCAAGCAATCTGCCTGCCTCAGCTTCCCAAAGTGCTAAGATTACAGGAATGAGCCACCAGGCCCAGCCATTTTGAGTCAATTTTTGTATATGTTGTGAATAGGGGTCCAGCATCATTCTTTTACTTATGGATATCCAATTGTCCCAACACCATTTGTTGGAAAGACTATTATTTTCCCCATTGAATAGTAATGTCACCCTTGTTGAAAAATCAAGTGACCATAAATGTAAGGATTTATTTCTGGGCTCTCAACACTATTTCATTGATCTGCATGTCTAGTCTTTTACCAGTATGAGCCTGTCTTAATTACCATAGCTTTGTAATAAGTTTGAAACTGGGAAATGTGAGTCTTCCAACGTTGTTTATCTTTTTCAAGATTATTTTGGCTCTTCTGGGTTCCCTTAATTTCATATGAATTTAAGATCATGTGATGTTAATTTTATGTGTCAACCTGACTGGGTCACAGGATATGCAGAAATGTGGTTAAACATTATTCTGGGTATGTCTATAATGGTGTTTCTGGATGAGGTTAACATTTGAATCAGTAGACTGAGTAAAGCAGATTTTCCTCCCCAATGTAGGTGGGCCTCATCCGACTTGCTGAAGGCCTGAATAGAATAAAAGCTCTGAGGCTGGGCACAGTGGCTTATACTTGTAATCCCTGCAATCTGGGAGGCCGAGGTGGGAGGATCACTTGCACTCAGGAGTTCAAGACCAGTCTGGGCAACATGGTGAAGCCTCATCTCTAAAATAAATATAAAAAATTAGCCAAGTGTGGTGATGTGAACCTGTAGTCCCAGCTACCAAGAAGGCTGAGGTGGGAGAATCACCTCAGCCCCCAGGAGGTCGAAGCTGCAGTGAGCTGTGATTGCACCACTGCACTCCACCCTGGGTGATAGAGTGAGACTCTGTCTCCAAAACAAAAACAAAAACAACAAAACAACCCTGAGCAATGGAGAATTCACTCTCTCTGCCTGACTCTCTTCAAGCTTAGGCATCGGTTTTCTCCTGCCTTCAGACTTGTACTCAGACTGGAACTTATAAAATTGGCCCACCTGATTATCAGGCCTTTATACTGAAACTAGAACTATGCTGTTGGCTTTCCTGGGTCTCCAGCTTTCCAGCTGCAGATCTCAAGACATCTCAGCTTCTATAATCCATATATACTATTTGTTCTGTTTCTCTGGAGAACTCTGACTAAGACAGATCAATTCGTTAATTTCTGCAAAAAAAAAATGCCAGTTGAGATTTTGATAGAGTATATTATATATGTATTCACCATCATTTACGAAGCATTTCTCCTCTGGTTATAGAACTTTTGGTTGACAGTACTTGTTTTTCTTTATAGTTGTTTTTTCCTCCCAGCAATTCAAAGATATCGTTTCCTTATTTTATGGCTTTCACTGTTTTTGTTGAGAAGACAGTTGCTAATCTTAGTCATTTGAAAGTAGTTTTTCTTTTCTTCTGATTGTTTCTGAAGTTATACTTTTGTCTTCAATTTTCAGCAATTTTACTATAATGTGCTTAGATGTGTTTTCTTTGTATTTTGATTGCCTGGGGTTGTGGAGTTTTTAAAATCTGTGGTCTTATATGTTTTATCAGCTTTTTAAAATTCCCAGTTATTATCTCTAGGAATATTGTTTCTGCCCCACAGTTTCTCTTGCCTCTTTTTCAGGGAATTCAATTACATGTATACAGACTTCTTCACTGTGTTCTCTATGTTTTGTATGATTTTCTATATTTTCCATTTCTTTGCCTCTCTATTTTTTTCTGGATATTTTCTGCCTTTATCTATATCTAATCTCTGTCAAGTTTCATCCATTGAACTCTAAATTTGTATTATCTGTACTGTTCTAGAATTTCAAATAAGTTTCTTTATAGTTCCCAGTTCTCTGTTGAAATGGTCTTGCTTTTTATTTCCTTGCATGTATTTTTCATAGTTACTATAAAGCCTATATCTGATAACTCTATTATCTGCACTCCCTGTATATCTATTTCTATTGTCTTTTTATTATTTTTCTTTGAAAACTAACATTATTTTTTCCATTATTTTATATCACATTATTTTGTCTCCTCATTTGTTGTTATTTGTCTTTGAGCTCCAGATATTGCATATGAAAAATTATAAAAAATAATGTTAAACTTGGAATAATATTGTCTTCCTCTGAGATGGATTTACATTTGCTTCTGGAAGGAAGCTAGGGGATTAGTAATCCCATATTACCTTGATCTAATCATAGACTGAGATGATTTAAAGCTGGTTTTCTGTCCCTGGTATAACTAGCCTATTTATGAATTGCCATTTCTGCTGTTACCACCAGGTGGGTTCTTCTTGTCTACTGCACAGATAAAGCCAATCCACCAAGACAGTGATATTACAGCAGAGAAAGAGTTTAATAATCACAGGGCTAGGTAGCTGAGCAAATGGATGGGAGTAATTCTTACTCAAATCAGCCTCCTCAAAAACTCAGAGGCTAGGGCTTTTCAAGGATATTTGGAAGGCAGGGATCTAGGGAATGGAGAATGCTGATTGGTTGGGTCAGGGATGAAATCATAGGGGATCAAAGCTGTCTTCTTATGCTGAGTCAGTTTCTGGGTGGGGGTCACAACACCAAATGGGCAAGTTTCTTGGTATGGGTTACTGGTTCAGGTGGACCATCAGCTGGTCCATCAAAATGCAGGGTCTGGAAAATACCTCAAATACCAATCTTAGGTTGACAATAGTGATGCTATCTATAGGAGAAATTGGGGAGGTTACAAATTTTGTGACCTCTGGCTACATGACTCCTGAACTATAATTCTAACCATATTGCTAAGTTTAGTTTTGCACAGGTAGTTTCAGTCCCTGAGCAAGGAGCAAGTTAGTTTCAGGAAGGGGGTATTATCATCTTTGTTTTAAAGTTAAACTATAAACTAAATTCCTCCCGTAGTTAGCTTGGCTTATGTCCAGGAATGGACAAGGGCAACTTGAAGATTACAGGAAAGATGGAATTAGTTATGTCAGATTTATTTCACTGTCATAATTTTTCTGTCAGATTTCTCTCACTGTCATAATTTTTGCAAAGGCAATTTCACTCCTAGGTTGTAGCACCTTGAGATCCCAACCCAAAGCCTGGAAAGGAGGTTGCCAGAGCCTTCTTTAGCAGGCTCTGAGAAAAATACCTTTATTTTCAGCCTCTCAGTCTTCCAAACTTACATCAATTTTTGTGAATTTAGATTATATCCCTAGGGGAAAAGCATCCCCCAACACTGGGCTCACTTCTGTGAGTTTTCATCTCCCAAACCTTGGCCCTATAGTTATGCCTGTTTTGTTACGTCTCTAATACTTTCAGATGTTTTCACATTGTAATAATAGTATCTTCCTCTGAGGTGGATTTACATTTGTGTCTAGAAGAAAGCTAGGGGATTAGTAATTCCATATCATCTTCATCTAATCATAGATCGAGATGATCCAAAGCTGGTTTTCTTTTCTCCTTTTTCTTTTTTTTTTTTTTTTTTGAGATAGAGTCTTGCTTTGTTGCAGTTAATTGTGCAGTGGCACAATCTTTGCTCACTGCAGCCTCCACCTCCCAGTTTAAGAGACTCTCCTGCCTCATCATCCCAAGTAGCTGGGATTTCAGGTGTCCACCAGCACACCTGGCTAAGTTTTGCATGTATGGGGTTTTGCCATGTTGGTCATGCTGGTCTCAAACTCCTGGCCTCAAGTGATCTGCCCACCTTGGGCCCCCAAAGTGCTGGGATTACAGGCGTAAGCCACTGCACACGTCCTCAAAGCTGATTTTCTGTCTCTGAAAAGAATTTTTTAGATTCTTTCTGAATCCTTCTCAGTGAAAAGATTCATTTAAAGACCAGCAGCAGTTCCCTCCTTTATGCAAGACAAAGAGGGAGCTACTTCCACATATTAACCATCTCCATAACAGCTCCAGAAATCACTGATCTCTGCCATCTGTAGGAAAGACAGGCCCACTGTTCAGGGTATGTGAGGTTTGAATGAGAGAACCTAGACAAAGTGCTTGGTAAGTTGTTCCTTTTTTCCTTTTCCAAGTTATTGGTAAAGAATGCTCGGTACTTTTTGTAATGATCATGCTTCTCTCTTTGTTCCATCCTTTAGAAAGTTCAGAGCCAAATTTTAATCCTTCTACCAACTTATGATTCAGAACCTTATCATATATCCTTTGTGAAATGATCTTATCACAATTTCGTTATATTGTCTGTATTCCACGTGTTTCATCTATTTTCTTTAACTCTTGTTGTATTGTATGTGTTCATATAAGCCTCTCTCAATCACTTTCATAGGAGGTGGTACATAAAGAAACAAATTAAATAATTTAAATAAAAGTATTTTGAACTATGATATGCCATAAATGTGATAGAGAATATAGATATTAGTTCAGGATTGAGCCACTTCCCTGGGCTAGCAGGACTTCAAGGTCCCTGTCTTCCCATGCCCCTCACTGACATCAAATTGGACCTTAAAAGTCCAATCCAAGATCCATTTTTCAGAAAGCCTTCCCTGACCTCCCTGCATGAACGTCTTGCCTTAATCACATTGAGCCTCATATTGCTGGACATGACTGCCCTACCACATACTCTCTTTATGCATTTGTAACATCCACAATGCCTAGAAAAGAAATTATCTTGAATTGAATTTTTCACACCTTTACTGGGCAATAATTAGCATGCAATAAACTGCACATATTTAAAGTATACAGTTTGGTAAGTTTCGACATATGTATATACCTATAAAACCTTCACCACCATCAAGATAATGCACATATCTACTGCAATTAGTTTACCTATTCACTTGTTAATGACATTAAGATTGTTTGAAATTGCTGACTATTAAAAATAAAGCTGACATGAACGTTCTTGTATAAGTGTTTGTATGGACATATTCTTCCTTTTCTCTTGGATGAATATGTAGAAGTGGAATAGTTGGGTCATATAGCTTTTTAAGAAACCAATAAACTGTTTTCCAAAGTGGTTGTGCCATTTTACATTCTTATCATCAGCAGTATAAGACAATTTTAGTTCTTCCACAACTTCTCCAACACTTAGTGTGTTCATTCTTTTTAATTGTAGCCATTCTAACAGGTGTGCTATCTTATTGTGGCTTTAATTTGCACTTACGTACTGACAAATGATGTTGGGCATCTTTTCATGTGTTTTTTGGGGGAGGGGGGAGGGTGGAGGCAGGCATTTGTTTATCTTCTTTGGTGTCCAAATCTTTTGCTCATTTAGAAAATTGCATTGTTTTCTTGTAATTGAGTTCTGAGTATTCTTTATGTTTTCTGGACACAAGTTCTTTATCATATACAGGATTTATAAATGTTTTCTCCCTGACTATGGATTATCTTTTCATTTTCTTAGATGTCTTTTGAAGAACAGAAATTTTTAACTTTGATGTAGTACAACTTACCAATTTGTTCTTTTATAGATTGTGCTTTTGCTGCTAAATCTAAAGAATTTTTGACTAATCCAAAGTCACAAGAGTTTTCCTTGAGAAGTTGTGTAGTTGTACACTTAGATCCAGGGTCCATTTTTAGTTAAGTTTTAATTATGAAGTGAGGTATGAATCCAAGGGTTTTTGTTGTTGTTGTTGTTGTTTGATTTTTGTTTTGGTTTTTTGGGTTTTTTGTTTTTATTTTGTGTTTTTTGTTTTGTTTTGCCCCGTTTTTTTTTGCTGTTTGGCTACCCAACTACTATAGCACCATCTCTTTAAAAGACTATTTTATCTTAACCAAATTGCTGTTGTACTTTGTTGAAAATCAATTGTCCATATATACATGGGTCTTTTCAAGACTTTCTATTCTGTTCCATTGATCTATTTTTCGATCTTCTATCTTTACATCAATACTATACTGTCTGAATTGCCATAGCTTTATATAAATTTGAAATCAGATAATATTAATCCTCCAATTTTGTTCTTTTTAAAAGTTATTCTGGCCATTTTTAATCTGTTTCATTTTATATTAATTTTAAAATTGGTTTATAAATTTTACCTAAAACAAAGCAGCTGGAATTTTGATTGTGAATGCCTTAAGTTTATAGATCATGTTGGGGAGAAAATCTTAATAAAGTTGAATCTTTTAACCCATGAATATGGTATATATTTATTATTTAGATCGTCTTTAATTTCTTCCAGCAATGGTTTGCAGTTTCCAGTAGAGATCTTTTAAATCTTCTGTCCCTGATTTATCCCCAAGTATTTTCATTTTTTATGCTATTGTAATTAGTAATCTTTAAAAATTTCAAGTTCCAAGAGTGTGTTGCTGGTGTATGGAAATACAACTTGTTTTTGTATATTGATCTTGTATTCTGCAACTTCACTAAGCTTTCTTATTAGTTCTAGTTGCTTTTGTTGTTATTGCTGAGACTGGGTCTCCCTCTGTCACCAAAGCTGCAGTGCAGTGGTGGGAACACAGCACACTACATCATTGGCTTCCTGGGCCCAAGCAATCCTCCCACCTCAGCCTCCTGTGTAGCTGGGACCACAGATGCTTGCCACCACACCTAGCTAACTTTTTGTAGAGATGGGGCCTTACTCTACTGCCCAGGCTGGACTCGAACTCCTGAGCTCAAGTGATCCTCCTGCCTCAACCTCTCAAAGTCCTGGGATTACAAGCATGAGCCATTGCACCTAGTTTGTTGCTTTTTGTAAATTCCATTGGATGTTTCTACCTAGATAATCATGTCATCTATGAATAAATACATTCTTCATTTGTAATCTGGATAACATTTAGTTCTTCTTGAATTGAACTGAGGTTTACTGGACCTGGATGTACAGGGACTTGAATTTTTTTTGTTTTTTTTCTGAGGCTTACTCTGTCACCCAGTCAGGAGTGTAGTGCAGGATCATGGTTAAGTACAGCCTTAATCTCCCAGGCTCAAGAGATCCTCTCACCTAATTTTTTTTTTTTTTTTTTTTTTTTTTTGTAGAGGCAAGGTCTTACTATGTTGCCCAGACTGGTCTCAAACTCCTGGCTCAAGCAGTCCACCCACTTCTTCCTCCCAAAGTACTGGGATTACAGGCATGCACCAACATGCCCAGCCAGGAACTGAATTTTAATGCCAACTCGGCCATAACTCACTGTATTAACCTTTGGCAAATCACTTTTCCTCTCTGGACCCTCGAAAATGATCTGCATATTCTCTATGTAGATCTGCATATTCTCTATGAACATTCCTTCCCACTTCTAACATTCTAGAAGACTAAGAATGTACACAGAAAGGTGTGAGCACTCTTACAATTCATGGCTTCCTGCCTCCAGGCCTCTGAGTCCTACTCTCTTCCCGTTAAGTGATTGACTCACTGTGCTCCTGACAGTTGAACTGAACTGGCAAATGTCACCTTTTTTGTTCCCAATCTCCCAGTGAAATAAGTGAGTGGCTATATTCAGTCATTCTTTTGCCATTTATTGTACTGCCTCCCGTGAGCAAGGCCCAGTTTGCAGAGCAGGGTGGATTATCTGTTTTCTAACAAAGGCCAAAGGCCTTTAACTCATGAAAAAATCAGCTAACAGCCATTTACAAATAAAAAGCAACTACATTTGATATATTTTTAAAAAAACACTTTCCATTATCTTGCTTTCAGATTCAGTCCTTATTAATAATGTAGCATTATACTGTGCTGAGATGGGGTAGGGTGTGGCAGGCTAAAAAGCTAAAAAGACAACATAGCCCTAACTTCCAGGAACTTAGGAGTCCAGCGAGGGAATGGTCCGTTTGTTCTCCATCCATATGGAGAGGGACAGGCAGACAAAGCTACAGTGGAGTATGTTAGAAAAGACCTGAATCTTTGCAAATAGGGAGTCTGAGCAACCCCAAGCCATGGTGGAAATGAGGGATATAGTAGACTTTTTAAAGTCTTTTTGGTCACCTGGGCTTGGACCTCATTCCTAAGTTTGGGATGCCGCTCCTTTTGAGAAAGAGCCCATCTCCCATCAGAGGAAGCTTGTCCAGCCTCCTTGTCATCCAGAGCACATGGCCTCATCTCATCTCGGCCTGTGCAATCAGATGCATTCATTGAACTCTGAATCCAAAGCTGGTGATACAGAAACCATGCAGGTTCCTTTTCGCTAATGGAAGGCAATTGTGGCAGCAGCTACATCTGGTTCCCTGAGACAGTGGTAACACATCTAGTTTCTAGAACCCAGAATCATCTATTCCAACCCTGTCATTTTACAAATGCAGTGTGGAAATAATTGAAAACCACCCAAATGAGAACAAGCAAGGCTATTTATTCAGAGCTTCCTCTAGCGAGGGAGTCAGCCATCATCACCTGCATTTTGGCAGAGATGTCAAGGCAGGCAGAGGAGTAGGAAAGCTTTAGACTTGGATAAAGAAAAGCTTCAGGTATCCCCTGAATGGAGGCTGTTTGCATGGAGAAGCTGTAGGCATGCTGACTAGAAGTGGGCATCCTATGTGATTGGGGTTTATATTTTTGACTTTCTCTGGCCTATCCTAAGTTGGAAGCAGGGACAAAAATTAGAGAAGCTGTCAATTATTAATCAAGTCCTGCCCATTTGGAGCCAATTGTTAAAGGTGTTATTGCTTCCGGGGCTGATTGCTAGTGATAGTGATCTTACTTCCTTGAGAGTCTGACATATTGAGAGTAGGCTGGCTTCCTGGGCTGGATGGATTGGCTTCCTGGGCTGGTTGTTGCAGATTGTGGGTCAGAGTTCTATTTTTAGATATGGCCTGGCCACTGTCTGTTTGTATATTCAGTCTGTCAGCAGAATATGTACTCCCTCCAGAGAAGGGGAGTGGCCTATTTAAGGTCTAACCGCTAATACTAACCAGACCTGATAGGTCAACCTGAGATTTAACGTATTTATCTTGTCATCTCCAAAGGAACTTATGCTCTGCTTGTTGAAGAAACAAGATTTAGACCCATAGAGAAACAAAATTCAGCACAGATGTCACAGAGGTAAGTTGCACCAGGAAATTAATTGTTAGTGCTATAGCTTGGCAGGAAACCTCATCATTTTCCTCTGATAGTGGCCAGAGCTGCTGCTGGTCAGGTGCTTTGTATGTCCTGGGCATTCTACCCATCCAGCAAAGTCCAGGGGTTAAAAGCATGGCTCTCCAGTCTTCCCACGTGCATTCATATTTTATCTCCACCATTGGTAGCTAGTGAACTTGAACATGATATTTTACCTCTCATCTTCAATTTCCTCATCTGTAAAATGGGAATAATAATGGAAATATCTCATCATGCTCTTGTGCAAATTAGATGGCCAGATATTTGTAACATGCTTAGAACACTTACATTATAAGTACTGGTACAAATTAGCTATTGCAATCTCATTTAGTCCTCATATCCATTCAGTCTGGCAAGTAATATCCCCACCTTGCAGATGAAAAACTGAAGATGGTGATGTCCCTTGTCCAAGACAGTGAGAGTCAGAGTCAGAATTTTTACTTATGTCTCTAGGAAACTAAACCTCATTATTCCTTTCTGCTGTGCTTCTGAAGACAAGATGCCATTGTTGGGAAAAAGGACAAGAAAGTCCAAAAGTATGTAGGGCTGTGGTATCAGACCACCCACATTCATATCTTGGTTCTGACTTCTATTAGCTGTAAAACCTTGCACAAATTACTTACCATTTCTGAGCACACTGTCATTTGCAAACTGGTAGTAAGATTAGTTGTTTCAATAAGACTAAGGTTGTTTTAAGGATTAAATAGTGTACTATATGTGAAGCTTCCATTACAACGCCTGGCACATGCTAAGTGCTTAATACTTGACAATAATAATTTTGGTTATTGTAATCAGAAGTGACTATCATAAACCATTCTTCAGTGTCTGTCCTCAATGGTCCCATCTTTGTGCAGTTTTCCCTTAACCTCCAGTCTACTTTGATGTCTCCATTGTTGAATTCCTCATTATTCAACATTGTTGAATTCCCTCATGTAGTGCTACAGTAAGTCAAGAAGAAAAGAGACAAATGACTTGGAGGAGAAGATGGGTTCTTCAGGGAAGACGAATAGACAGGCAAAGGGTAACAAGACAATGGCAACATAGTGACATGGAGTCCCCAAAGACCAAGGCTTCCTATCGCCCAGACTTTCAGAAGAGTCAAAAATGCTTCCTAAGGCTGGGCATTTTGGCTTCAGTCCTGTAATCTCAGCATTTTGGAGGCTGAGGCAGGTGGATCACTTGAGCTCAGGAGTTCAAGACCAGCCAGGGCAACAGGCTGTCTCTACAAAAAATACAAAAATTAGCTAGGTGTGGTGGTATGCACTTCTATTCCCAGCTACTCGGGAGGCTGAGGTGGGAAGATTTCTTGAGCTTAGGAGTTCAAGACCAGCGTGGGAAACAGAGCAAGACCTGTCTCAAAAAAAAAAAAAAAAAAGAAAGAAAGAAAAGAAAAAGCCTTCCTAGGAAGCAAATAGAGGAGCTGTGTCTTTAGCTCTGTGGTCAAACTCAGACATGGTCATCTGGGAGACACTCACCATATCCTTAGCAGATGAAACCAGCTTCCTCCTTGCCATGTAGCATCCCTTGGAGGTGATGATTCTAATTTTAGCACTGAGTTCCATGTGGTTGACTTCTGAACACTGTTTTTTCAGAGTTGAAGCCAAGTTGTTTATCAGATTGGTCAGAGAGAATCAGGAAATATGCAACTGAAAAACCTGATAGATGAAGGGTGAAAAGAGGTAAAAACCTGATAGAAAATGGGCAACAATAGTGGGAGTATGAACTTACAAAAGCAAGGGAGCAAATCAAAGGAACATAAAAGACCACCTCTTCCGTCACCCTGTAAAGTAGATATTACCATTCTGTTTCCCAAAGGAAGAAACTAAGTCCAAATAAAGTTCAGTTTTGCCCCCACAAATCACTCAGGTAATGAGAGCTGAGTCATGATTTGAACCCATCAAAAAATATCTGGAAAAAATAAGCATAAATGTTTAAAAGTGGTTGTCTGAGGGTGGTGAGATTATGGGTGATTTTAATTTTCTTCTTTATATTTCTGTTTTCTTCCAAAATTTCTTTTCTGTTGGGCAGCTGTTACTTGTATAATGAGAGTTATCAAAAGTTAAAGTCATTGAAACTATATCAGGGCCCAGGCTAAGAACAGGGAGTAGAAATTAAAGCAGTAAGGAGAGTTATCTTTAGGACCCAGGGAATCAGCCTGAGACTGTTGTTTCTGAGACTGAGAAAACTAAGCAACTAAATTGGGGGTGCGCTTCAGAGTGAGGTGGGGGAAGAAGGAAGGAACCAGCCCAGGCCAGAACTCTGGCTCCTCAGTGTCCAGGGACACTCAACCTGAAGGGGGCCTGGAAAGAAAACACTGACTTAATAGTTGGACACAAAGATAAGGACTTGATCTGGTAACAACCTAAACTCTGAGGCTGGACAGAATCCAAAATGGAAGGGCCTCAAAAGGGGGCTCATACACCTGTCTGGGCAAGACTCTAGACCTACACTTTGCACCTGTGTGTTTTTAACCTTTATAATAGCGCCTCATGCCCATTGTAATTTGTCTTGCAAGGGTATGGGGTGAGAAAGAAAACAGAGGTATAGAAAGGGCAGTGCTCCAAGCCAATGAGGCGAAAGCAGAGATGGCTGAAGCCCCTCACTCTGTCACAGTCCTTTTGAGAGGAGGGCAGTCGTGGGGTCAGAGCAGTATGAATTAGGAGATAGAGCTGAGGATGAAATCTGCAGGAGAGAGAAGATCGAGGTTCCTACATCTTCTTCCTCAAAGGAGCAAGAGGACCTGGGGTGAAATGAGATTCAAACTTATCCTCAACATGGTCTCTGCTCTTGAAACATTTGCAAACTCCAAGCAGATGTTATGCAAAGAAAACTTTATTTGTAGAAATACATGCTGGCCGTGTAGGATTCCTGGCTGGAAGATACACAATTATGGGACTGGGGAGTCTACTGGGGATGGTCAGTAATTGTAAGGTAGATGTGCAATTCCACATCAAAACTTATTCCACAACCCATCCTAAGTAGTCATTGGTTCAATTTCAAATATCTCACAGAGCATCAGCATGAGTAAATATGTCCTTAGTTGAATACAAATGAATAACCCCCCTAGCCACTCTTCTAGAATTTACAAGGTTTTTTTTTTTTACTGTATAAAAATACATCACCTGCTCTAGTCAGGTTATAAATATAATCTGTGAATTTTTTTAAAGTTTCATGTCCAAGTAAAAAAATAAATACATTAAATAGCAAAAAATAAATAAATATATTAACTAATAAATATATCCAATAGCAGAAAGATATTACAAAAATCTTATACAAGTATGGTCTCAATTAAGATTGGGGATGCATAAAGACAATCATGCAAGGAAGCAAGTAATGCATAAATAAGATACACTGTGACCAGCACAAGACTAGTACAGTAAAGAGATGGTGGTTTGGGGTCATGCCTCCTCTGCAGGTATTGAAGACTGGAGCTCTTGACCTCGAATATTCTTAGCAGCAGCATCACTTTCCTCCTATTCTGTCTCCTCCATCCATTGCAGAAGAATGTCTAGTTCCCCCAAAGCCTTCACAACTGCTGCCTGAGGTTCCAGCTGAAAGAGACACACACCCATGTGGTTAGCAATTCATGAGACAGCATTTGCTCCAGGACCTATCTCTTTTATGGATAGGTCTGCTGACAATTGTAAGCAGAGCATTCTTTTCAAGATGAAGCACTTAAAGAAGTTATAGAATCTCAAGATATCACACAAGGAAGGGAAATCATTGAGTTCATCACCCTGGTCTTATGTACAGAAACTGAGGTGCAAGGGGGTAGCAGAAGTAAAACTGCTACTTAAGACTCTTGAATCACAGAGATCAAAATAATCAAGCTATTTTCTTTAAGAAACGTGTGTGTGTGTGTGTGTGCACGTGCCTGTGTGTGTGTGTAGGGGTTGCCTACGGTGCACACATCAGTTGAACAGATATTGATTGTGCCAATCACCTAGCTGATGGTTAGGGATGAAAAGGTGAATGGCACAATCCCTATCCACAGTTGAGTGAGGAGACTGGCAAAAACAGGCAACTAAAATGTAGTGTGGTGAATAAAGGGATGAAATTCCTACAAGATGATGTGGGAGGCATCTAACTCTGAGAGAAGGAGCCAGCACCTTCCTGAAAGTGATGCCCAGGCTGAGTCTTTAAAGGATGAGTAGGATTTAGTCAGTGAGGAGTGAAATCCAGGCCTTCCTGGCAGACATGAGAAGGTGTGAAGGTGAGAAATTGAATGGCATGGGTGTGTGTGTGAAATTGTGAGTGTTTTCAAAGGTACATAGAAGTGTGTGAACATTGTAAAACTATTGCCTCTGGTTTGTGCAGCTAAAAGATCCAGATGTCACTGTAGTGACTTGATGGAATCATGGCCATTCCCTTTCCATTTCCAGAGCATCACCCAGAGAGGGTACTCCTCTAGAGCCTGGATGGGTGTCCCCTGGGTTAAAGCAAGGGCTGGTCCTCATGATTTCAGAGGGCTATGAACCTGAAGGCTACAGGATGTCTAACAGTGAATAACCATCCCACCTACCTATGATCTCAGTTCTTAAAACACACCCATCCCAATCAATGCCAAAGTCGCATATACCTTTTCAAAGTGACTCAGAATCTGGCTGTATTTCTTCATTGCTTCCTCCCCACAATGGCATGTCATGTGGGCATGCTGAAAAGGACCCAAAGAATAATAGATTATATTACAGATTCTGATTTTTTGCCATTGACATGAAGCAGGCAGAAACTCTACTCTTTCACCCACAACCCTGAGGATGCTTATTCCTATAGAAAAGCTCTTTCAGACCTCACATTTGGAATCACTAAGTTCATCATCAGCTAGGAGAGGAAGCCACCTTTTAGGCTCAAACATGGAACTCATCACTTCTTTTTTAGAAATAGGCAGGCAGTACTGAAGGCATTTGCCATCCCCGTACCCCATCTGGCCTCCCCACAACCCCCAGCTGTAGTCTAGGAGCTCTATCCCAGAGCTCTTTGAGCCCCCATGAGAAAAAAAAAAAAAAGAATTGAATTCCTAGGTCCTATTCAGACTATATTCTGAGGTCAAGCTCAATGGTCTACTAATTGACTGCCTAGACAGAGGACGCACTAATATACTGTAGGATACCTCACCTACAGAAAAAGTATAATTTCAAAGACAACAGAGTTATCATTAATATCAAATAGTTAGCATCTTATAGTTCTTTAGACTTTGCAAAGTACTTTTTGCCTAGAGCATATACCGAAAAGTCAATAAAACTGAGTTCTTATTACCTAGTCACATGTCTCAACACAGATTATTAGAACTTTTGGACTCAGTTTCTCCATCCATTAAATGGAGGTAGGAAAGAGAGTTTAGTTGCTAAGCCATTGAAGCTGTGTGCTGAGATGCATCCTGTCACCCAAGACCCACACTCACACAGAGCCGGAGGTCCTTCTTGATGGTAAGAAAGGAATTGGCGAGGCTGCTGATCTTCCGGAGAGTATAATGGTCAGGGGTCTGGTAGTTTTTAAATACCCTGTCCAGATAGAGTCTTAGCAAATGGCGCAGGAGGCAGCATCGATTCGCAGGCTGCAAAAAACCACAGGTATATTGGTGAGGGGAAAGGGGAGAGCAGAGACAAGACCAGGGTGATGGAGATGCTCCCACTCCACTCCTCCTCCCAGAGTTTGTCTGGGCCAAGCACATACCTTTGTGTCTTGCAAAGACTCAGTCCTCCTTAAGATTCTGATGTCAATGTTTCCATCTTTGGCTTGCTAAACAGAAGAAGACAAAACAAGCAAGGATGAGTCAGTGCCTGCTGCCAGGGTCTTCAATATCAAGACTTCTCATCCACTCCCTGCCAAGAACTAGTGGGAGGTGTCCTTTCCCAAAACATTTTAAATATTTGAACTACAGTTATTTCTTTGGAATACATCCCCCGGGTAAGGAATCCCCAGCCTGCCTCTTTTTATGATTACACTGCCAGTACTGCCAGGAAAGAGAAACGGACAAGGAAGGAAGAGAAAAGGCTTTCAGGAGAGGTAGATACCCGCTTACGTACCACACTGCCCCGTATCTCAGAAAATCCATTTCGTATTTCCTGAAGGTTTGTGGCGATCACACAGCTTCCCAAATTGAGTGTCTTCAGTCCAGTGGAAGGAGTCCATAGGAGATAAAACGCAGCAGAGAGAAGGCTGAAGGCAAGACTAGAGGCTTTCATCTTAGGCCTGAAATCTGGAGACCACAGGAGCTAGGAATTCAAAGAAGAGAGCATGACTTACTGAGTTTCCCCTCCTCCAAGTGTCCACGGGGTGAGGGGTGGGGGGTCAGGGGAAGAGAACAGCCTTATCTGGCCTCAGACAGTGTGGCCCATCCACGCAACTTACTAAGAAAAACTGCCAAGCCTCCCGTGAAGAGAAGATTTCAGGTCTGAGTTCAGAGTCTGAGTGCGAGTTGGTGGCACAGGTCGTGGCTCCTTTATTCTGTCCCCATCCTGGCTCCGCCGTTAGTGCCCAGCAGGTAAGGCCTGGAACAGCAGGCACTTGCAGTGAATAGATAGAGAATGACATTTCAGGGGAAATGTCAAAACTTGTTTTGGGGAATTGACGCATATAGCCTCCCCTTCCAGAAAGCCAACGTAGCTCACCCTTCTGGTCCCCTCAGACCCACAGGGGAACTGGGGAGAAATCGAATCTCACAGAAGCTGTGGCTGCGCCATCGAAAACACCTAGGGGGAAATTGTCTGGATTTTATGGCCACCCACAGGGCAGAGAAACTGAGCTCTGTTTGGCATTTGTCTGAGATCAGATAGGTTATTTGAGGGTAACAGATTCGCTTAAGCCCCAGAGGCAAATAGAAAGTCAATGATTTCATAACAAGCCTACTGCCAGGGAAAGGCAAGACGTGATGGGCAATCAGCCCGATTCCACCTAACACTCGTGTCTGGGACTCCACAGCGCCCTCTGCAGGAGGACTGTAGTCAGGCACTCCTGGGTGGATTCGAGAGTACACGCTTTCCTGGACCTGCAACTCAGGTCCTAGACCAAGCAAATGGTCCCAAAAGTCAGAGAAGAAAGGCAATGACGGAACTCATTTATTCTTGGGCGAGCCTCCTCAGTAAGAGAGCAGGTTAGGGTGTTTGCTGAGTTTTAAGATAAAATAATAATGGGCTGAGGTTAGGGTAAAACAATTGAGGCACTCATTTTAGGTGCAAAATTTAAGGGAGCACTAAAAAACCTCAGTCATCAAGATAAAAATATTTTAGTGCAATATCAAAATGAATTAAAAAGCTTATGACAAACAAAATATCAAAATTTTATATAAAGACAAAATTCGACAGTGCCATGCTGAGCCATATTGAAGCAAAAGGAAAAATTTGTACCACTATTCACATGTTTTCATGTTTCATTCTTAATGGTTAACTTTGTTTCTCAAAAGCATATGATGAAAATATTATTGATGAGTTTCCTTCCCTTAAAACCAGGACAGTAAAATTATAATAAATTTTGTTTGGGGCAGAAATAAAATATTTAAACTTAAAGTCATGAGTCGTAATAAACCTACTTTTTAATTTTTCAATTTTCTCAAATACTTTAATATTTTTGAAAGAAATAAATACATAAAATTTATAAAGACATATATATATACACACACATCATATATATATATGCACACATCCATATATATATGGCTGGCTCCATAGCTTGGCACAGCACTGATAATCATTATCACTTACTGAATTTTTCCTATATGCCAGGCAATATGCTAGACATTTTTTACATTTGTGACCACTCGAGATACTGTCAAATGTAGGAAAAGGAAAAAAGCAAACCAAACCCAAAAGAATCAAAGAGGACTCTGGGTTTGGAGACAAGAGAACTGGGTCCAAATAAATCCTCGCTTTACTAGTTTCCATTGATGTGGGTCATTCCAGTTTACCCAGCACTGAGGTTGGGGGGCAGGGAATGGTTCCTGAAATACGAAAATTTCAGTTTTAAAACTGGAAAAACCACAGGTAAACTGGAATGAGTTGGCCACCCTACCTCTATGTGACCTTGGACAAGTCAACTCACCTCTGAGTTTAATTTTCTTAACCCCAAAATGGTGATAATTAAACTTAACCCAGAAATTGTTTTGATTTTAAATCGATTATTTAAATACAATAATCTATGATTTATACACTTAGCACAGAGCAAGTGATCAATTCATTTTAAGTAGAGATTGATGTTAGTTGTCCTGAACTAACAATTTGATGAGCATTTAATGAGCACCCGCTGTCTTGAATGTTGTGCTAGGTACTGAAGTACAAAGATAAACATGATGATTATTTGTCCTCAAAGAGATTTTGTCCTCGTGGAAAAGGGTCCTTTAGATGTGACCTTGAACATACCTGGGTAAATGATTAGGAGAAGTAGGTGATCCTCACAACAACGTGAGCAGTGTCAGTAGAGGGTAAGATCTCTTACCTGAGCTCAGGAAAGGCTGCTGCTTCTGGTCTCCTAGGAGCCTGTTTCAAGTTGAAAGGCTTCCCATTATTTATATCTGTATATACATGTCACATGAAGGAAGTGAGCTCAGGCAGGTGAGGGCTGGAACTCCCTTGGAATTTCTCTGGTGGCATTGTTCTTCCTCAAGCACTACAGCAGCTTAATTGCAGGACAGATTACCCCAACACCTTCCTCCTGGAAGAAGCACTGCCTGAGGGGATTACTGGTTGTAGCTGTGGATAAAGGATGTGCCTCCTTCTGGCTCCACCTTCCTGCTTGATAAAATGATGGATAGAGAAGATCTGAGTTACTGAACTGGAAGAGAATTCTGGGGGATTCTCCTGCTCTCTCCTCTAAACCCAGTTCCCCTTAACCAAGTTTCTCCACAACTCCAGACACTGTGGGCTCATTCCTGCTGTTTTTCCTCAGCCCTTGCTATCCCCACCATTGCTCTCCAACATGGCCACCCTTCCCTCTAGTCATCATTAAAGATGAAACCCAAATCCTTTATTCCTGAACAACTCTGGGCTATACCAATCCCTCCCTTCTCTGACTTCCAATAGCAGATTTTTCTTTGGCAGTGAAAGCATCTAATGTTGTCCTGTGTTTCATGGAACTTGGTCTTTTCTCCCTAATAACACTGGAAAATTTTTTAGGCTGGGACTAGTCCATCATGTAGGACCATGCTCCCAGACAAAATTAAATTCAAAGAACCTGGGATGAATTATAGACAACGCCTTGGAAACATAAAGATGGTAGAGACTATCATATGTTCTTTATCAACTTATTAAAAATTAAATATCTAAAATTCTGAAGTCTTATATTTGAGTCCAAAGACTCCACATTACAGTATGACTTTGGCATATGATTGTGTCTTTCTGGATCTCAGTTTACAAATCTGTAAAATGAGAGAAACAGACTAAACAGTGTGTAAGGTCTTTTCCTGTTCTGACATTCAATGACTCTTTGTGTTTCTACCTTTTGGATCAGAATGTTCTTTTCAACATCTTTTGATATCTTCTTAAAGTTTCCTGAAAATAAAGACCATGGCTTTTTATTGTAATGCTTGATAAATGTTGAAAATATGTACAAATATCTAATCTAAATATCTCTTAAACTATTTAAGCTCATGCCTATTTTTCCATCATTGGTGCCAAGTTAACCATTTCTCATGATCATATATAAGTGTGATTAAAGTAAAATCGGGAGATGTGGTCTGATGAGAATAGTTGAAATCAAGATTTTCAGTAAATCTAGGCTTGTATAAGCCAGTCATGTCAGTCAATTCCTTTTCATTAACCAAGAAGAACCCAATTGCATTGTTTTAAGTTACCTGTAATGATTAATTAAACTTAGTATTCACACACAATCCCAAATCTTTTTTTTTTTTTTTTTGAGACAGGTCTCACTCTGTCGCCCAGGCTGGAGTACAGTGGTGCGATCTCGGCTCACTGCAAGCTCCACTTGCCAGGTTCATGCCATTCTCCTCCCTCAGCCTCCCGTGTAGCTGGGACTACAGGTGCCCACCACCCCGCCCGGCTAATTTTTTTTGTATTTTTAGTAGAGATGGGGTTTCACCATGTTAGCCAGGATGGTCTCAATCTCCTGACCTCGTGATCCGCCCATTTTGGCCTCCCAATTCTATTTTAATAATCAAGTCTCCCCTTTTCCTATCTCAAAATACTTTATCCTTTTTTTTTTTGAGTTGTTTTTAAGACAGGGTCCCTCTCTGTCTCCCAGGCTGGAGTGCAGTGGCACAATCACAGCTCACTGCAATTTCCTGGGCTCAAGTGGTCCCCCCATCTCAGCCTCCCGAGTACTTGGGACTATGGTGCGTGCCACCATATTTGGCTAATTTTTTTGTATATTTTGTAGAGATGGGGGTTTCACCATGTTGCTCAGGCTGGTCTCAAACTCTTGGGCTCAAACAATACACCCTCCTCAGCCTCCCAAATTGTTGGGATTACAGGTATGATCCCACACCCAGTTCAAAATACTTTATTCTTTTAAAATTCACTTACCACATTCCACATCACATTCTGTACAGATACCAACTTACCTCATCTCCTCTGCAAAACTTCCCCTGCCCCACTCTAATCTGTCTCTTCACCCCCATTTCCCAAGGCAGAACTGATTCCTCCCACCTTTTCACCTTAACTTTACCTTGTATATTGCTTTTTGTATTTATCACGGTCAACTACAATTTTTTAGTTGCATGTCTCTATCTCTCACAAACCTGAGAGCTCCTTGTTCATCTTCTTGGTCCCAACACCCAAAGGCTCCTAGCAGGTGCTCAGTGAACATTTGATGACTATGGAATGAATATATTGATTTGTCACTGTTCCTTCTTTCTGCTATGTTCTAAAGCCTGAGCTCTATGATTTAACTTATGAGGGGACCCTGGGGCTCCCCTGACACACATCTTCTTTCATATAAGGAATTCTACCTCAATGGCAAGAATTTCCTTATCTAATGATAGACTATTCCTCCTGGACTGTTAGAGCAAGAAGTGATTTTTAAGTACGAGTCTAATTCCTTCATTGTATACATGGGGAAACCATAGTTCAGAGAGGTGAAGTAACTTGCCCAAGGTCATTCAACTGGTAAAAGGCAGACCCCAAAGTTGTATTCAGTAAGTGTTCATTCCAGTACATGACACTCTTAACGCATGAGAAACTCCTATAGTAAATAGCTTTTCTTAAAAATGAGACTGAGAAGGAAGCTTTTCCCATCTCATAATTCTGGTAGAAGAAATGAGTCTTCAGTGGAAACAATGTAGAGGGTATTAGCACTGAAGATCACATGGGACTGAGAGCCAGGAGACCCAATCCTAATATTCACTTTCTTACCAACTTTCAGGGTGAACTTGGGTGACCCAAGTCTAGTTTTTACACCTTTCGGGCATTCAGTTTCATTAATAAAATGGAGATAACACCTACATCGTCTGTCTGCCTCACCCAGGAGTTATATATATATATATGCATATTTATATAAACCTATAGACACATAAGATCATTTTTATCATCCTTGTGTCTGATAGATCTTAAAAGCCATTCTTTCAATAGATATTTATTAAATGCCTACTATGTGCAAGACACTGTGCTGAATGCTGTGAGGATTACAGAGATGCCCCGGGCAGGTCTCTGGCCACTACCTGCCTACAGCCTTGTTGGAGGATAAGAGGTACGTTTGCAGAACCAAGATCAGTACTGCTGAGTGCGCAGAAAGTTAAGTGCCAAGGGGCACAGAGGAGGGCACTATCACATAGCAGAGCTTGAGATAAGCCTTGAAGGGTAGGCAGAATTTAAATGAGCAGAGATGCTAGGGAGGGATAGAGAGGAGGGCGAAGTTGAACAAAGGACACTCAAAACAGAAATGAGAGGACAGAAAAACCCAAAAGGTACTTGAGGACTGGCAAATAGATTTGTTTGGCTGGAGCTCGGTTTCATGGGGAGAAGCCATGGAGAATCAAATTGGAAATATGGCTATAATATCAGTGACCAAGAATACCATACCAAGGAATATGAATTTGATCTGGGAGTCTAGAAACTGAAGTTCTAGCTCTAGCTTTACCTTCACCTCATTGTGTGGTCTTGGTAAAATAACTTCCTTTCCTTATCTGTAAATTATGGGAAAACAAATGAAATGATTTATTAAGCCCCTTTCTACTTGGCTTTCTTAATTCTGTAATTCTTGACTTTTCCCCCTTAAGGCCATAGGGCCACTGAAGACTCTTATAGTGGGGGAGAGATGTGGGAATAGCTGCGCATGAACCATGGGGTCTTCAAGGGCAGCAAGTGCTTGGCACCTTGCTAGTGCTCCAGTGGAACAGATGGGGGATGCAACTGTGTTAGAGAAGCCAGGGGTACATTTCATGGGCACATCAAGCCAGCTTGAGAAAGTGAGGTTCCAAACCCGGGAGTCAGGCTATAATCGGTGCCAGTGGCATTGTAAAGGTAAGCCGCGCAGAAGGAAGAGAAGGAGAATCCCTTCCTAGGAAACAAACTCAGCTTCCTAATTAAGCCATTTTTGGGCAGGAAACAATTTTCTAGACAGCAAGAAGGAAATCCAGCCACTCCTTTTTTTCCAAAGGAAGACCTGAGTTTGCAATGCAGGGTTTTCCCTATCTAGGACATCACAGTTGCTGGCATCTGAGCTTCCTGCCCAGTTGCATCACTTTGCAGGGAAGCACATGGGCCTTCGGTTCTGCTGGAGGAAAAACCTCAGTTCAAAAGGTGGGCAGGTGAAGGCCCTTGCCACTGGCTGGTAGTGCTGGGAGCTTTGCCCCACTTGCAGTTCCAGCTACCTTCCTGGGAGACAGCAGGGTGGGATAGGCGGGGTAGTTGACTATCAGAAGCGTACATTTTCGCTTCCTTGTCCTCAAAGCTGCCAGCATGAGTGACATCATTTCCCTTTCCTGCGTTTTTTCATCATGCTCTGTTTAACCAGCTCAACTTGTTTCCAGGCTTTCTCCTGAGACTTCTTCTGACATAGCTGGATCCCCAAAGTTGGTTAATTCCTCCTGCCCCGTGCCTGCAGAGCAAGAGACACTGGGCATTTATTTCCTCCTCTGGAATTGGAGTTGGGAACAAAAATCCAGACAAGGACTTGACTTAACAGTTTCTTCACCTGAGAGAGTAGGGATGTACCAGTTCTTTCCCTTCTATTTTATTTTATTAATTTATTTTTTGAGACCGAGTCTCACTCTGTCACCCAGGCTGGAGTGCAGTGGCGTGATCTCTGCTCACTGCAACCTCCACCTCTTGGGTTTAAGCAATTCTCATGACTCAGCCTCCCAAGTAGCTGAGATTACAGGTGCATGCCACCATGCCTGGCTAATTTATGTGTTTTTAGTAGAGACAAGGTTTGACCATGTTGCCCAGGCTGGTCTCAAACTCCTAGGCTCAAGCGATCCACCTGCCTCAGCCTCCCAAAGTCCTGGGATTACAGGCATGAGCCACCACACCCAGCCAGTTCTTTTCCTTTTAATTTCACAAACAAGCACAGAGAGTCTCCCATGTGTGAGCACTGAGCTGGATTGACCCAAGGGCTACCAAAGTGGAAAAGATGTGGTCTCTTGGGACCCCCCTCCATGGGACCTCATAGCATCATGAAAGCAACAGACCCTCTAATGCAGGAGTTCTTAACTTGGGAGAAGGTAGATGAGAAGACACTATGTCTTTTTTTTTTTTTTGCTAACCTCTAATTGAAATTCAGCATTTTCTTCAATTATAAGGATAAGCAACAAATACAAACCACAATAGTATTAGCAGTACCAATGACTTTGCCACTGATGGAAATCACAAATATTTTTGTATCACATTACAGTGGTTTCAGGTATCTCAAAATATCACTTATATTCATTACTACTTAGAAATGTCAGCAGTTTGTAGGCCTACTGCTAGATCATGCATTAATGCATTAATAAAGAAGCACATATATATTACCTATTTGTCATTTCCACATTTTGATAGCTGTATTTTACTACTACCGGTTTCCTTTATAACCCTATTTCTTTTACTTTATGCATTTAGAAATATTATTCTGAGTTCATAAGCTTCACTGGCATGCCAAAGGAATCCATGGCACACAAAAGGTTAAGAGGCTTTGCTGTAATACCTGTGGGCATGGTGACCACAACTCCCCAGTTGTGACACACAGTCTGAGAAAAATGAGGCGACATAAAGGGGATGATGGGAAGGATTTTTGTTATCAGGACATTCCTAAAAAATTCAGTCTATGTTCATAATAGGCATTTGGGTGAGGAGAGGAGAAAGGCACTGAGATTCCTTCTGAGGGGCAAGGAGGGTATCTGAGATTTCTTAGAGAAAGTCTGGTTTGAGCAAGGGTTAGTATGTCACAAACCCATTGACAGACTAATGGGTTTGTGAGCTTTGAGGATGGAGAATGTGGCAGGGTCAGAAGAACCCTTACTCCTTCCAGTAAAGAAAAATGGAACAAAATTCCTGAGGCCAGAGAGCACTTCTACCTCCTGTACCTGAGGTATGGTGACCCGGGGATGCTGGGCGGGGTTCAGGAGCAGGTATTGAAGAAAGTTGAAAAAAACGGTGGAATTGCAATGAACTGTGAGCAAGAACTTGAGAAACTACACTCTGAGACGTTCTAAGAATCAGTGACTGTTTTCCTTTGGTAACCCACTCAGAATCTAGACCAACATCATCCATCATAATAGGTCAACTGACTTGCTTACTGATGTGTTTCCCTAATTTCAAATTCAAAGCACCTTTTTTTTTTAGAGAGACATATAGAGACAGGGTCTTGTTTTGTCATCCAGGCTGGGGTGCGGTGGTATAGTCATAGCTCACTGTAACCTCAAACTCCTGGGTTTAAGCAACTCTCACATCTTAGCCTCCTTAGTAGCTAGGACTACAGGCATTCACCACCATGCCTGGCTAATTTTTTATTTTTGTAGCTGTGGTGTCTCGCTATTTTGCCCAGGCTGATCTCAAACTCTGGCTTTCAAAGTACTTTTTCATTCACTGGTTTCCTACAGAGAGACTGAGATTTCTACTATCCAACAACTTTCACATTAGACACCATTTCTAGCCACCTAGTGGTATCAGAAGGACCCTGCCTGCACTCTGCCTCAGGGGTATCTCATCTAGACTTACACCTTGCTCTTCTTGAGTGAGGTGTGAGGGACATTTTGGAGCCATTGAGGAGGTGAGGAAGAAGAGGTGAAGTCTTGAGTTCTTTCTCCCCAGTCATAGGGCGGCTGGTCTGAAAAAGCTGAACCTCTGGCCCAAGTGAGAAGGTGCTGCTTCTGCCACTACTGACCTTGTCGGAACAGATGATGCCCTCTAGCCTGCACGCTTGGGACTGCACCACTCCTAGGTGAGAAGGGCCCCAGTTAGCAAGACACCCAGAGCCCTGGCCAGCCAAGGAGTTGAGTGGAGACACTAGTCTTCAGGCTTCAGGATGTGAAGTTAAGGACCATAGGACAATAATCAGGGGTGAAAGAGAAATGAAAGACAAGAAGGACAGACAGAAAACTGACTCCTTTGCCATGGAGCTAGAAATCAAGGACATGGAACAGAGGCAGAGGATCCAAGTGGAGGATAAAAGGAAGGCTGAGAAGTTCCGAAACCAATGACAAAGCCACAGGCTTCCTTTAAGTGGGCTCCGCCTTTGCTTCATGCATGTATTCATTCATTCAATGAACATTTATATACTGAGTGCAGCCATTTACAAAGTAGCTGTACCCTCGGAAGCTCAGAATCTGAGACAGGAAATGGATACTGAGGTATCTCTGACTTGTCAAGAACTGGAAAACCATTCTGGGTCCCAAGGAACACAACTAAGAGTGGAGGTAGAGAGGAAGGAGCAAGAGGAAGACGGCTTTCTGCCCTGGGGGAAGCGCTGCAGTTCTTGGGAAGTTAAGCCTGTGCTGGGGGTAGAGTTAAGATGCACTAGAAGGTGACCACAGGCTCTTTTGTTGTTTGTTTGTAGCACTTACTGTGTGCCAGGCACTATGGACTTCATGAAATACTAGTTCCTTTAATTCTCATGCAACCCCATGAAGTATGTGTGCTTATTCTCTTCATTTTCCAAATAAGGAAATTGAGGCACAGAGTGCTCTTACATAGTCTAGGGAAGTGATCAGCAGAGGCATCCAGACCAGAGTGTGCTGAGTCACACTTATCTCCTGATATGAAAGCTAGATTCTGAACCCACTCCCACTCCCATGATGGTCCTTCCATGGGACCTGGTTCTGGATCCAGCCTCATTTACAGCACTTGAATCTTCGCTGAAGGTGGTTCTGTGGCAGAGCTCTGAAACTGAACTAATTGAATGTCTTTCAGTAACAGAATGCGAAGTATATAGACGTCTCTAGAATGCTCTAGAGCAGGGGTCCCCAACCCCCAGGCCATGGACCAGTACCGGTTGGTGGCCTGTTAGGAACCAGGCCACAGTAGGAGGTGAGCTGCAGGCCAGCGAGCATTACTGCCTGAGCTCTACCACCTGTCAGATCAGCGGTGGCATTAGATTCTCATAGGATGTGAACCCCAGTGAACTACGCATGTGAGGGATCTAACTTGCACTCCTTATGAGAATCTAACTAATGCCTGATGATCTGAGGTGGAACAGTTTCATCCCAAAACCATCCGCCCTCCCCACCCTTGACCTGGTGGCAAAATTGTCTTCCACAAAACCAGTCACTGGTGCCAAAAATGTTGGAGACTGCTGCTCTAGAGAATGCTCTATCTTGGGCCGAGTGCTGTGGCTCACACCTGTAATCCCAGCACTTTGAGGTGCCAAGGCAGGCAGATCACCTGAGGTCAGAAGGAGTTCGAGACCAGCCTGGCCAACATGGTGAAACCCCATCTCTACTAAAAAAATACAAAAATTAGCCAGGTGTGGTGGTGCACACCTGTAATCCCAGCTACTCGGGAGGCTGAGGCAGGAGAATTGCTTGAACCTGGGAGGCAGAGCTTGCAGTGAGCCAAGATCACACCAGTGCACTCCAGCCTGGTCCACAGAGTGAGACTCCATTTCAAAAAAAAAAAAAAAAAAAGAACACTCTATCTCTGGAATGTCTTATCTCACCTGCTACTTAAGAAACAAAAACAAACAAAAAAACCAATGTAACTTGAGCTCATAGCAACTTTTTAAGAATTTATCCTCTCCCAAAGTCCTTGGCCAAATGTGACATGCTGACTCCTGCTGTGGACCTACATCCAGGAATAATTGCTTAGCCCTGCCACCCACAGTCAGGCATTGCTCATGGCTGCATGGGGAGTATTGAGTGCATCTTATGAGCTAACGGTTGTTCTAGGCATGACAATCAGTGCTGAACAAAGCAGGGGTCTGGATAGAGTCAAGGGAAGAGTCCCACACTGATGAGTACTGTGACAGAGGAAGAACAGAGCACTGGACCAGCCTGCGGGAGGGGTACCTGAGTAGCAGGGAGAACCAGGAAGGCTACCTGGAGCCTGGTTGGCCATGCAGAAACTACAAGAGCCATTGCCAGGACATGGCAGAGAGCCATCTGGAGATGCAGACCTAGAGGAAAGTACAGCTGCTCTGGGCCAGAGTCTCTTGCCTTCATACTTGCTAGTTATAAGTAAATAAATAAATGTACAAGTAAAACTCTCCTAAAACAACACTGTTACATGGGAAATAAAATCGGAAAGTTGAGAATAATTAAATAGGACAATCAACATTTATTAAAATTTTTAATTTTTGTGAGTACACAGCAGGTGTATATATTTATGGGGCACATGAGATGCCTTGACACAGGCATACAATGTGTGACAACCACACCATAAAAATTGGGGCATCCATCCCCTCAAGCACTTATCTCCCATGTTACAAACAGTCCAGTTATACTCTTCTAGTTATTCTAAAATGTACAAACAAATTACTATTGACTATAGTCACCTTGTTGGGTCATCAAACACCAGGTCCCATTCATTCTATTTTTTTTTTTTTACCCATTAACCATCCCCCCTTCCCCCCAAACCCCCTACTACTCTTCTCAGCCTCTGGCAACCATCCTTCTACTCTCTATCTCCATGGGTTCAATTGTTTTGATTTTTCAGTCACACAAATAAGTGAGAACATGTGATATTTGTCTTTCTGTGCCTGGCTTATTTCACTTAACATAATGATCTCCAGTTGCATTCATGTTGTTGCAAATGACTGAACCTCATTCTTTTTTATGGCTGAATAGTATTCCACTGTGTTTATGTACCACATTTTCTTTATCCATTCATCTGTTTACAGACACTTAGGTTATTTTCCAGATCTTGGCTTTTGTGAACAGAGCTACAGCAAACATGGGAGTGCAGACATCTCTTCAATACAATGTTTCCATTCCTTTGAGTACATACCCAGCAGTGGGATTGCTGGATTGTATGGTAGCTCTATTTTTAGTTTTGTGAGGAACCTCCAAACTGTTCTCTGTAGTGGTTGTACTAATTTACATTCCCACTAACAGTGTACGAGGGTTCACTTTTCTCCATATCTTTGCCAGCATTTATTATTGCCTGTCTTTTAGATATAAGGCTTTTTAACTGGAGTGACATGATATCTCGTTGTAGTTTTGATTTGCATTTCTCTGATGATCAGTGGCATTGAGCACCTTTCACATGCTTGTTTGCCATTTGTATGCCTTCTTTAGAGAAATGTCTATTCAAATCTTTTGCCCATGTTTTGATTGGGTTATTAGATGTTTTCCTAGAGAATTATTTGAGCTCCTTATATATTCTGATGATTAATCCCTCATCATATGGGTGGTTTTAAAATATTTTCTCTCATTCTGTTGATTGCCTTTTCACTTTGTTGATTGTATTCTTTGCTGTACAGAAAAACTTGATGTGATCCCATTCATCTATGTTTGCTTTGGTTACCTGGGCTTGTGAAATATTGCTCAAGAAATTTTTGCCTGGGCCAATGTCCTGGAGAGTTTCCCTAATGTTTTATTGTAGTAGTTTCATGGTTTGGGGTCTTAGATTTAAGTCTTTAATCCATTTTGATTTGAATTTTGTATATGGTGAAAGGTAGGGGTCTCATTTCTTTCTTCTGCGTATGGATATCCAGTTTTCCAAGCACCATTTATTGAAAAGACTGTCTTTTTCCCAGTGTATGTTCTTGGCACCTTTGTCAAAAATGAGTTCACTGTAAGTGTGTAGATTTGTTTCTGGGTTCTCTATTCTATTCCATTGGTGTATATGTCTGTTTTTATGCCAGTACCATGCCGTTTTGGTTACTATAGCTCTGAAATATAATTTAAAGTCAGATAATATGATTCCTCCAGTTTTGTTCTTTTTGCTTAGGATAGCTTTGACTATTCAGGGTCTTTTGTGGTTCCATATAAATTTTGGGATAGTTTTTCTATTTCTATGAAGAATGTCTGTATTTTGATAGGGATTCCATTGAATCTGTAGATTGCTTTGTGTAGTATGGACATTTTAACAATGTTGGTTCTTCCAATCCATGAACATGGAATATCTTTCCATTTTTTGGTGTCCTCATCAATTTCTTTTATCAGTGTTTTATCATCGTCATTATAGAGACTTTTCACCTCTTCTGTTAATCCCTAGGTATTTAATTTTATTTGTGCCTAGTGTAAATGAGATTACTTTCTTGATGTATTTTTCAGATTGTTCACTACTGGCATAGAGAAATGCAACTGATTTTTGTGTGTTAATTTTGTATCCTGCCACTTTACTGAATGTGTTTATCAGTTCTAATAGTTTTTGGTTGAGTCTTTAGGTTTTTCCAAATATAAGATTATGTCATGTGTAAACAAGAATAATTTGACTTTTTCTTTTCCAATGTGGATGCCCTTCATTTCTTTCTTTTGCCTGATTGCTCTAGCTAGCACTTCAAGTACTACATTTAATAACAGTGGTGAAAGTGGACATCCTCATGGTGTTCCATATCTTAGGGGAAAGGCTTTCAGTTTTTCCTCATTCAGTATGATACTCGCTGTGAGTATGTCCTATATGGCTTTTATTATGTTGAAGTATGTTCCTTCTATATCCAGTTTTTTGGGGATTTTTATGAAGGGATGTTAAATTTTACCAAATCCTTTTTCAGCATCAATTGAAATAATCACGTGGTTTTTATCCTTCATTCTGTTGATATGATGTATCACATGGATTCATTTGCATATGTTGAAACATCCTTGCATGCCAGGGATAAACCCCACTTGGTCATGATGAATGATCTCACTGTATTGTGAAATTCGGTTTGCCAGTATTTTGTTGAGGATTTTTGCATCAATAGTTATCAGAGATATTGGCCTGTAGTTTTCTTTTTTTGAGAGGTCTTTGCCTGGTTTTGTCTTTAGTGGTTCATAGTAACCACTAATGATCCTTTGAATTTCTGTGGTTCAGGAGCGTATTGTTTAATTTCCATGTATCTGTATAATTTCCAAAATTCCTCTTGCTATTGGTTTCTAGTTTTATTCCATTGTGGTCAGAGAAGATGCTTGATATTTCCTTTTTTTAAAAATGTTTTGACTTGTTTTGTGACCTAACATATGGTCTATCCTTGAGAATGAGCCAATGATAATACTGGCCTCATAGAATGAGTTTGGAAATATTCCCTCTTCCTCTATTTTTCAGAATAGTTTGAGTAGGATTGGTACTAGTTCTTCTTTAAATGCTTGTAGAATTCAGCAGTGAAGCCATCGGGTCCCGGGCTTTTTTTTCCACTGGGAGACTTTTTCTTACAGCTTTAATCTTGTTACTTGTTATTGGTCTGTTCAGGTTTTGGATTTCTTCAAAAGCTTGATAGGTTGTATGTGTCTTCAAGCTTGATAGGTTGTATGTGTCTAGGACTTTTTTCATTTTTTCATTTCTTCTAGATTTTCCAATTCGTTGGCATATAGTTGCTCGTAGTAACCCACTAATGATCCTTTGAATTTCTGTGGTGTCAGTTGTAATGTCTCCTTTTTCATCTCCGATTTTATTTATTTGAATCTTTTTTCCTAGTTAGTCTGGCTAAAGGTTTGTCCACTTTGTTTAACTTTTCAAAAAACCAACTTTTTGTTTCATTGATCTTTTGTATTGTTTTCTTCATTTCAATTTCTTTTATTTCTGCGCTGATTTTATTATTTCTTTCCTTCTACTAATTTTGGATTAGGTTTGCTCTTACTTCTCAAGTTGTTTAAGATGTATTGTTAGGTTATTTAGTTGACATTTCTCTTCTTTTTTCATGTAGGCACTTATAGCTATAAACTTACTTTTTAGTACTGCTTTTCCTGTATCCCATAGGTTTTGGCATCTTGTGTTTCTGTTATCATTTGCTTCAAGAAATTTTTCAATTTCCGTCTTCATTTACCTGCTGGTTATTCAGGAGCATATTGTTTAATTTCCATGTATTTGTATAATTTCCAAAATTCCTCTTGTTGTTCGTTTCTAGTTTTATTCCATTGTGGTCAGAGAAGATGCTTGGTATCTCAAATTTTTTAAAATGTTTTGCCTTGTTTTATGACCTAAAATGTGGTCTATCCTTGAGAATGAGCCATGTGCCTCATGAGGAAAAGAATGTGTTCTGCAGCAGTTGGATGAAATGTTCTGTAAATATCTATTAGGTTCTTTTGGTCTATAGTGCAGATTAAGTTTCTTTGTGGATTTTCTGTCTGGAAGATCTTTTCAGTGCTGAAAGTGGGCTGTTGAAGTCTCCAGCTTTTATTGTATCAGGGTCTATCTCTCTTTTGTTCTAATATTTGCTTTATATATCTGGGTGCTCCAGTATCAAGTTCATATGTATTTATAATTGTTATATCCTCTTGCTGAATTGACCCATTTTCATTATGTAGTGACCTTCTTTGTCTCTTCTTACAGCTTTTGTCTTGAAATCTATTTTGTCTGATTTAACTGTAGCCACTCCTGCTCTTTTTTGGTTTCCATTTGCGTGGAATATGTTTGTCCATCCCTTTATTTTCACTCTGTGTGTCTTAATAGATGAAATATGTTTCTTGTAGGTAGTAGATCGTTGGGTCTTTTTTAAAAAATCCATTCAGTCACTCTATGTCTTTTGATTGGAGCATTTAGTCCATTTACATTCAATGTTATTATTGATAAGTAAGGACTTACTCCTGCCATTTTGTGATTTGTTTTCTGGCTGGTTTGTGATCTTCCCTTTCTTCTGTCTTTCCTTCCTGTCTTCCTTTTAGTGAAAGCGATTTTCTCTGGTGATAGAATTTAGTTTCTTGCTTTTCATTTTTGTGCCTGTGTGTATCCATTGTATGTTTTTTGGTTTGAGGTTACCATGAGGCTTGCAAATACTATTTTATAGTCCGTTAATTTAACTTGATAACAACTTAACACTGTTTGCATAAACAAGGAAACAAAAAGCAAGCAAAAAAAAAAAAACTAATAAAGACTCTATGCCTTAACTTTGTTCCCACACTTTTTAACTTTTTGTTGTTACTATTTATATCTTATTGTACTGTCTGTGTCTCGAAAACTTGTTCCACTCCTCAAGTGGAAGTTACTATTTTTCATAATTTTTCATTGTTTAGTCTTTCTACTTAAGATAAAAGTAGTTTACATACCACAGTTACAGTGTTATAATATTCTGTATTTTTCTGTGCACTTACTATTACCAGTGAGTTTTTTACTTTCAAATGATTCCTTACTGCTTATTAACATCCTTTTCTTTCTGATTAAAGCACTCCCTTTAACGTCTCTTGCAGGACAGGTCTGGTGTTGATGAAATCCCTCAGCTTTTGTTTGTCTTGGAAAGTCCTTATTTCTTTTTCATGTTTGAAGGCTATTTTCACTAGATCTGATATTCTACAGTAAAAGTTTTTTACTTCAGCACTTTAAATAGGTCATGATGCCACTCTCTCTTGGCCTACAAGGTTTCCACTGAAAAGTCTGCTGCCAGATGTATTGAAGCTACGGTGTATGTTGTTTCTTTTTTCTTCCTGCTTTTAGGATCCTTTCTTTATCTTTGACTTTTGGGAGTTTGATTATTAAATGCCTTGACGTAGTCTCCTTTGAGTTAAATTTGCTTGGTGTTCTATAAACTTCTTGTACTTCAATATTAATATCTTTCTCTGGGCTTGAGAAGTTCTCTGTTATTATTCCTTTCAATAAATTTTCTACCCCTACCCCTGTACTTCCTCTTTAAGGCCAATAACTCTTAGATTTGCCCTTTTGAAGTTATTTTCTAGATCCTGTAGGCGTGCTTCATTGTTTTTTATTACTTTTTCTTTTGTCTCCTCTTGCTGTATATTTTCAAATAGCCTGTCTTCTGCTTGCTGAATTCTGCTATTAAAAAACTCTGATGTGGCCGGGCGCAGCGGCTCATGCCTGTAATCCCAGCACTTTGGGAGGCCGAGGCGGGCAGATCACGAGGTCAGGAGATTGAGACCATCCTGGCTAACATGGTGAGACCCCGTCTCTACTAAAAATACAAAAACAAAATTAGCCGGAAGCAGTGGCAGGTGCCTGTAGTCCCAGCTACTGGGGAGGCTGAGGTGGGAGAATGGCGTGAACCTGGGAGGCGGAGCTTGCAGTGAGCCGAGATCGCCCACTGCACTCCAGCCTGGGCAACAGAGTGAGACTCTGTCAAAAAAAAAAAAAAAAAACCAAAAACGAAAAACAAACTCTGACGTATTCTTCAGTATGCCAATTGCATTTTTCAGCTCCAGAATTTCTGCTTTATTTTTCTCATTATTTCAATCTCTCTGTTAAATTTATCTGATAGAATTCTGAATTCCTTCTCTGTGTGATCTTGAATTTCTTTGGGTTTTCTCAACGCAGCTATTTTGAATTCTCTCCCTGAAAGGTCACATATCTCTGTTTCTCCAGGATTGGTTGGTCCCTGGTGCCTTATTTATTTCACTAGGTGAGGTAATATTTTCCTAGATTATCTTGATGCTTGTAGATGTTTCTCTGTGTCTAGGCATTTAGCTATTAATTGTAAGAGGTAGGTATTGTAATCTTCACAGTCTGGGCTTGTTTGTACCTGTCCTTCTTAGGAAGGCTTTCCAGATGTTCAAAAGGACTTGAGTGTTGTGATCTAAGCTCAATCTGCTTTAGGGGGCACCCCAAGCCCAGTAACACTGTGATTCTTGCAGACTTGTAGAGGTACCACCTTGACAATCTTGGACAAGATCCAGAAGAATTCTCTGGATTACCAGGCAAAGATTCCTGTTTTCTTCCCTTACTTTCTCCCAAACAGTCTATCTCTCTGTTTTGAGACACCTGGAGCTCAGGGTGGAGTGACACAAGCACCCCTGTGGCCACCAAGGACTGTGCTGGGTCAGACCTGAAGCCACCACAGCACTGGGTCTCACCCAAGGCCTTCTGTAACCATTGCCTAGCTACTGCCTGTGTTTGCTCAAGGCCCTGGGGCCCTACAATCAGCAGGTAGCAAAGCCAGCCAGGCCTGTGTCATTCTTATCAGGGTGACAAGTTCCCCCAGGCCCCCAGAGGTGCTATCTGGGAGTCAGAGACTAGAGTCTTCTTATCAGGGTGACAAGTTCCCCCAGGCCCCCAGAGGTGCTATCTAGGAGTCAGAGACTAGAGTAAAAAACCTCAGGAGTCTACCCTGTGTTCTGTTCTTTATTGTACTGCACCTGAGCTGGCACTCAAATCACAAGATGTAGACTTTCCCACTCTTTCTACCGCTTTCCAAAGGCAGGAGAGCCTCATCGGATGGCTACCGCCACTTCAGGCCCACAGAGAGTACTGCCACACTACTGCCAGTGTTCCCAAGGGCTCTTCAGTCAGCTTGTGGTGAATGCTTCTAGGCCTGGGACTCACCCTTCATGGCTGTGGGCTCCACTGTTCCCCAGGGCAGGTTCAGAAATGCCATCCAAGAGCCAAGTCCTAGAATCAGGGACCCCAGGAGCCCAGTTGGTTCTGTACCCCATTGTGTCCAAGCTGGTACCTAAGGTGCAAAACAAAGTCCCCTTTACGTTTCCCTCCACTTTTCCCAAGCAGAAGAAGTCTCACCCCATAGCTACCATAGTTAGGAATGTGCTGAGTCTCATGTGAAGCCAGCAAGTCTCAGAGTCTCACCCAAGGCCGTCGACATAGTACCTGGATATCATTGCTGGTTATTCAGGGCCCAAGGGCTCTTCAGTTAGCCAGTGATGTATCCTGCCAAAACTGGGTGCTTCCCTTCTAGGCAACTGGTTCCCTTCTGGCCCAGGGCGTGCCTAGAAATGTCAAGTGGGAGCTAGGGCCTGGAAAGGGGGCCTCATGACTGACCAGTGCCCTATCCTTCTGTGGTTGAGCTGGTATCCAAGATACAAGACAAAGTCCTCCCTACTCTTTTGTCTCCACTCCTGAAGTGGAAGGAAGGAGTCTCATTATTTTGAACTATGAGCTGTGCAGCCTGGGGTTAGAGGAGGGGTAATGCTGGTACCACTTTAGCTGCCTTGGTTGATGTCTCAGTATATTGTGTGCATTCACACCCTAGTCTGCTGGCTCTGGGCCCAGTTCAACACTAGTACTTGCCTAGGAGTTGCAGTCCTTCTGGCCTAGACTGAATTTCAAGTTTATTTGGAACCCCAGAGCACTTTAGCCCACAGTGGTAAGGCTTGCAGAAACTCAAGTTCTGACTGTTGGGGTCAGTGACTCCCCTCTGGGTAGGGCTGGTTTAAATCTCCCTCCATGGGTGGCCATCAGGTGAATGTGTTCCAGTTTTGCTTTCTCCTGTAACAAGGACAGTACTGATTTCAATGCCTCACAATTGCTGCGCTCTCCCTCTCCCCAGAACACAAAACTGCTCTCTGCACCACACTGCCACTGATGGGGGATTGGGGACAGGGTGGCATCAGCGATTCAAGACTGTTTTTCCTACCTCTTCAGTGCCTTTTTCAGCAGTATGAAGTTTCAGCAGTATGAACATGTGTGGCTATTAACAATTTGCTCTGGAAGATGGAAGGAGGATAGAGCATCCCCAGGAGGAGCCCAGGCCTCAGCTGGGCCGGGAACATTGCGTGACATACTCAGAAGTTGGCCTCTGCTCCTTTGCTCTGTGTATGTCCATAATTTCATGTGTAACTTCAGAAGCTTGTGGCTAGTTAGTCCAAGCCCCTTTTGGTGCATCTGGGTTTAGTTATCTTCATTGCTGGCATTCAACATAGTAACCTGGGCCCTAGGTTATACAGTCTTGTCCAGGATAAAAGGAACTCCCCTAGCAGCAAAAGGAGAGGGCACCAAAGCCAGGAAGATGGGGCCTGGATTCATTTTCTGGATCTGCCATCCCAAAGCTTTGTGGACTTGGGCAAGCTCCCCCACCTCCCTGAGCCTGAGATGCCTTCACTGACCGTGTGAGGATAAGAACTCCAACCCCCTTGGCTTCCTCTGAGGCTTGAATGAGGTCCTATGTGTAAAGTACCTGTCATGGCCCTGGTGCGTGACATGGATTCCCTCCCCTTGCACCTTAGCAGTGGAGGTGAGCTCCAGATTTTTCAAGGGTACCTACTAGGGGCTGACAGAGGACTCAGCATGGTTTGGGAGATAATGTTACTCTTGGCTTCTTAGCATGTATTTCTTAAGCACCAGCTCTGTGAAGAAACACACACAAACACACACGCACACACACACACACACACCCCACTATGCCAGAACTACTGCGAACTCAAAAAGCATTGGGACATATTCTTCAAGTCTGAAAAAAGAGAAAGGAAAAGTAGACGGGGAAAGGAAGCAAACAAGAGACCTAGGAGAGTTTTAAGCAAGATACTAGCCATTTCAGAAAGGATGAGCTCTTCTTCAATTATCTTCCTCCTGCTCCTCCTCCTCTCCTACTAGTACTTCTACTACCATTGATAATAACAATATTTCCTACAGGTGCAGGTCATTATGCCAGTAAATCACCTTCTCTTGTGGGCTTCTTGTCACATGAGCAAGATGCACAAGCCACAAACCATCATGATGGAGGGCTCAGGCTTTGGAGTAGGACACCCGGAGTTTGAATCTCTGTTGTACAACTAGAAACATGGCCTTAGGTGTATTGTCAAACCTCACTAATCTCCAGACAATTTTTTTTTTTTTTTGAGACAGAGTCTAGCTCTGTCACCCAGGCTGGAGTGCAATGAAGCAATCTCAGCTCACTGCAACCTCTGCCACCCGAGTTCAAGCAATTCTCTTGCCTCAGCCTCCCCAGTAGCTGGGATTATAGGTGCCCGCCACCATGCCTGGCTATTTTTTCTATTTTTAGTAGAGACGGAGTTTCACCGTGTTGACCTGGCTGGTCTCGAACTCCTGACCTAGTGATCCACCCACCTCAGCCTCCCAAAGTGCAGAGTTATTCACATTATAATTATAATCGTACCTTAGAGAACTATCGTGAGGAGTAAAGGAGGAGCCATAAGTTAAGTTCTCACCTTGGTGCCTGGCACATGATGAACTCAACATATGTACATTATTGTGGACATTATAGTTCATTCTGGAATGTGGCTGCCTGGATTGGAAGCTCAGCTCTTCTACTTATGCGATATGTGGCCTAGGGTAAGTTACTTAAGCTCTCTGTGCCTAGTTTCCTTCTTAGGGTTTAATTATCCATACTGCTAACAATCAATGAGGTGGCCTTTTTCATTTTATTTCATTCTAAAAACCTACAATAGGATTGTTGTGAGAATTAAATGAAATATATATATATGTATTTATATTATATTATATTACAAGAAGTGTATTTCTTAGACTATCGGCTGGCATATAGGAAGCACTATATACATGTTTGTGGTTATTCACATTTCTTGAATAAATAATCTAGGTGAATTGTGAATTTAACACCTACTAAGTGCCAGGCAGTGAACAAACTAAACCATCCCTACACTCATGAAGCTTACATTCATGTGGAGGAGCAGCTAATAAACAAAATAGGATGCTAGATAAACAGGAAAGGGGTACAAAGTGTGCTGAAGGTGGAAATGGGGGGTTATCCTCCAATACGAGACCTTTGGAGTGAAGGTCTGAAAGACGTGGAGGTGCAAGCCATGCAGGTGTCCAGGGGAAGCACATCCCAGGGCAGTGATAAAAGATCAGAAATGCTATAACTGCCATCACCCAGCCTGCTCAGGGTGGGTGCCCATCCAAGGTCACTTTGGAAAAGTTAGGTCCTCAGCAAACAACCCTGCTCCCTAATAGCGTATGAATCCCATTAACGCATAATGTGTGGAGGGTTTGTTTTATTTTTTAACCCTACCTCAGTTTATGAGTGTGCATGTACACAAAGTGCATACACTGTATGGTGAGAACATGCCTGGTGTGTTTGCGAAACACAGAGCAAACAACTATGGCTGGGTCACAGTGAGCCTGGGGAAGGAGCAGGGACACAGTTAGGGAAAACAGCCAGGAGGGGTGTGTGTGCAGATATCAGGGTTGTCAAAGCCCTCATAATGACTCCAGCTTTTAAATGATTATAGAGGCAGGTGTGGTGGCTTAAGTCTGTAATGCCAGAACTTTGGGAGGCCGAGGAGGGAGGATTGATTGAGCTAGGAGTTTGAGACTACAGTGAGCTATGACCATGCCACTGTGCTCCAGCCTGGGTGACAAAGTGAGACCCTGTCTCCATAAATAAATAAATAATTATATGGAGCAGGTAGTACAGAAGGGTCAGTATCCACAATACTAACAACTAAGGACCAAAGAAATGTACTGACCTGCCCTGGGAAATTCATGGCAGGAGATGCCTTAGAACCAGAAGGTGGCCCCTGAGTCGGCAGTCTTTATATTGCACCGTGCTGTCTCCCACCCTGCTGAGGTCATGAGAGACCTTTTCCTTACTCGATGCTCACAGCAACACTACAGGACTGGTGTTAATATCTCCACTTTACAACAGAGGACACTGAGTCTTAGAAACGTTAAGTGCTTTGTTCAAAGTCACATAGGATTGGAACCAGATCAATTGGACTTCAGAGGTCTTGTTCTTTCCATTAAAGCATGTGATATGAAATCTGAAAGATACACATTTGTGCTCTGAATCATCTATGCAGTGTCCATCTAGATGTTGGTACCCTTTTCAGCCTCTCTACCCAGTGGCCTCTCTACTTACTTGTGTCTGTGCTTGTTCAGCTTTGTCACCATGACAACCATCCCTCTGTCAGAAACACCCTGTCCTCAGTCTTGACTGACTCTCCCTGAATGAAAAGATCCTTCCATTCATAGGTAAAATATGGAATTTATTCAGAAAAACCACTCAGTACAATGTGTACTACAGGATATCACTTGGCTCACATCACAGACATGGACTATATGACTTTACAATAAATTAGATGGGAAGGCAGCCCTTTACTCCCAGGATGGCCTGCAGGCCCTTTCAGCAGATAGAGTTTATTACAAATACCACAGTAGACTTTTTGGCTATTTTCAAGCGGAATAAGACAGCCTGAGGCCAGCCAGTGGGACTTTCAGCTGCAAGGGGCCTTCCCCATCTCCTTCCCCTTCAAGGTGGGCTGTCTCCCACAGTAAACCGCACAGGGGGTGTTCATCCCTGGATCACTATACAGGTTCCTTGTCATCAAGCTGAGAACATTACTTCATGATTCTTATTAATCCAGGCTAGAAAGACGTCGAGCTCTCCCAGGGATTTAATGGCAGCAGCGTGGACCTCCAGCTGAAATCAGAGATCAATGTAAGAACCCACCTTTCTAGACTGTGTAATGGTTTTCAAGTCACTTTCTTCATATGCTGGTTCCCACAAGGTTTTGTTTCTGTTTTTGTTTTTTTGTCACGAAATATATTTGCATAACATACAGACTCAATATTATTTTCCTCGCAGGCAACCAATTTTTTTCCCCACAAACAAGTAGTTAAATTATGTCAGCTCCTTATAAACAGAACTTTAAAATTCTTCATTCTTTTCCCTCAGGTTTTTTTTTCCTCTGTTTTTCACAGGAAAAAAAAATCTGCCTTACTGGCCAGTTCCGCTGATTTTCTTCTCCACACCAGCTTGCTTTAGTGCTTCTGTTATCCCAGAACATCTTTGTCCCTGAGGTGCTGGACAGTGGGTAGGGAGAGCATGTTGTCCTCATTTGACATATTAGAGCACTAAAGCCCCTAGAGCAAGTGTCCTACCCAATGTCACACAGCCAGTTAGTAACAGAGCTGGAAATGAAACCCAAGTCTCCTGCCTTATTCCACCTCCTTCCTCAGCAGACTGAGTTCATGCTTTTAGCGCGTCCTGTAGAGCCAGCCAGCGTGGAATTGAATCCTACCTCTGCCGTGCAGTTGCAGTGTGAACTTAGTTTAGTTACTTTACCTGCTCGAGCCTCAGTTTCTTAATGTATCCAATGCAGATAATGACTCATAGCATTGTTGGGAAGGACGAATGTGTGTTAATACTTGTTGTGTGCCTAGAGCAATACCTGGCTTATAGTAAGAACCATGTAACTCTTAGCTATTTCTATAACATTATCTTACAGAGTCTCTCCACAAAGAAGCAGAGCCCATAACAGACTCCCTAACTCTTGCTCTTCAAAGCATTGGTATCATTTGACAGTGTGATCTAAATGCAGAAACTCAGGCTCATCCCAGCCCTGCTGAGCCAGAATCTGCATTTTAACAAGATCTTGAACTGATGCTCATGAGAAACACTGCTTCTTCCTCTACCTCCACGTGAGATGTGCATTTTACACCAACATCAACATGAGAAGTACCATGTCTTCATCACTACACACAATATGGGGGGGCAGGTAGTGATCGCAGTGACGGCGTGCAGGTAACACGTTTCAGGCGTAACAGCTCACATTTCATGGGGGATCTTTGCTCCCTCTGTGTCATCCCATCTTAAGCAGTGGGTGCTTTCCCCAAATCATACAGGTCAGGCTTGATATATGAGGGTATGAGAAAATGGTGGAGGAATGATGGAGATGGGGAGCCCAGGAGATTAGCAAATGAGGTAAAATCAAAACTCTCTTTACAGACACAGAGAATTGAGGCCTGCCCACAATGGCTGCTTATAGAGTGAATGCATGAATTTAAGTGGAGAGGAGGCTGAAGGCCTGGCACCCTCCTGATCTACCTCTCATCTTCCATCTTCCCCAACCTCTTCCCAGATCTTACCTGATCATAGTTGTCATGGATGACTCTGGTGGCATTGGTGGCTTCCTGCCTGCAGTGACACTGCCTCTGTTCCTGCTGTGATAAAGTGGAGGAAGCTCCTATCAGAGGACATTTCCACTCTGGCCCTCTCTTACTCCTGCCTCCCCACATGAGAAGTGACATTTCTCCTCCCTCCCACAGTGAGAGTCAGATGAGTAAACTCAGGTGGGAGCAGCCACGGAAGAATAGAGCTTGTCTGTAGAGTCACCTGCATCTGCCCACGCCTTTTGTTTTTTCTGCATTTAGAACACATCAGACTGTCAGCACTAGGAAAGCAGGCACCATATCTGTCTTATCACCACTCTGAGTGCTGCATCCCACAGGGTAGGCACTCAACAAACATTTGTTAAATGTTAATTATTAATTAGATAATTAATTTTAACGAATTGTTAATTAAACAACTGGTTAGGTGAATTTATTTGAGTCCATTATCATATTAATGCAAGTAGGACAGGGGCCATCAACTCTTCTAACAATTTTAGAATCCGAGGCACAGAGAGGTGAAGTCACTTGCCACAAAGTCTCACAGGAAATCATTAGCAGGAATGGGGCTAGAGCCCAGGTTCTCTCCTGGTCTAAGTTTTTGTTGGTTTGTGTTGGTTTTGTTTCTGATGTTGGATTTAAATAGATCGCAATGAATTTCTAAGTAACCTTTAGGGATAGGCCATACCAAGGAACTACCCAGAGGTTTATTGATGTAAAGACACCAAAGGGCCAGAAATAAAGAAACCAGGGGTATGCTTACAGTAGAACTGGAGTCCTTGCCATGCCTCTTACTAAGGAATATGTTGACATAAGTTGGTCACCCCAGGAGGGTTATCTAGGAGGAGACCATCTGAGGAGTTGTCAGCAGGCAGGGAGCCCTGGGGAAGCAGTGGCCACTGGGAGAGGTTCTCCACAGTTCTCCCTGTGGACGTGCGCAGAGAATTTCCTTTGACTCCAAGCACCATATCAGGAGGCCGATGGGGGCCAGCACTTCCTGGCCTCTCCTTGGGCAGACAGGGAGCAGATGCTGGAATTCTGACCCAGTGACTCACACATTGCCGCAGAGTTTTCTGCATGTAGAGGAAAGAGTTGGCAATGCTGCTGATTTTTCTCAAGATTTTGGGGTTTGGCTCCTGATGATCCTTGAACACCCTGTCCACGTAGAACGCCAGGAGGTTCTTGGTCACGCAGCACACATCTAAGGGCTACAAACACAAATTAGGGAAACACTAGAGGCCTCTTCTCTCATTATGTTGGAGACCAGGGCAGTCCATTTGAGTAGGGGCAGCGACACATGAGAGAACTAAAAGTCATTTTGGAAAAATTCGTAATGGTCTCAGAGTGTTCATCCTCTCTTATTCCCATCAAAGCTACTTATGACAAAAATAGTGAGAAGAGATTCCAGTTCTCCCCTTTTTCTGTATGGCCGAGAAATACATTTACTAAGGATGGGGCCCAGAATCCATCATAGGCTAATTCTCTCTGCAGTATCCCTAGCGTGTCATCACTAACTTCCACTGAAATCTTTCCAGGAACCAGTTGCCTCCTTTTTAAAAGGACTGATGGCTGAGCAGCTTTCTTGAAAAGAACTTCCCTACACTACAGGGGCTGAAGTTGCCTCTCTGTTATGTCTCCCATCTGCCAACATGCAAGGGCTGTTGCATGCCAGTCATCCTGCTAGGTATGCATTCCTCCAACTGTAATCACATTGCATTCATTCTGGCCACCTTACTCTGGACCACACTGCTCAGCTCTCCTGTAGTCTGTCCTTTTAAAACCAGAAAGGTCATTGGAATGAGGCTGAGATTTGCAAGAGAGACCGACAGCTGCAGAAATGGGCATATTTGGGTAGGTCTGCAGCCTGCAGAGTGCAGATGTCCCAAAGAAATAGTCTCTAAATTCCCAGGCACAGCCCAGTGAAGTTGGCTAGACAGTTTCCTTCTAGAAGTTTGCCCGCCATCTGCCCTGAGAGCCAGTTACTCTGCAGAAGATTAACTGTTCAGTCTAAGCAGGGAGTGGTTAACGGTGGGACAGCACACCCATCTTCATTCAAGAAGCAAAGCCTCCTTGGCCCCAGTGTCAGCTTTTCCTAGATGGCAACACAAAAACCCTTCTCTTCCTTCACTGTTGCTGATTCTCTTAACCAGAAGGGCAAAATGTTACACCCCTCTGCACTATCAAAGACTGTGGTACTAGAAAAAGGAACACTGCAGAAAAAAGGAAGGTGGGAGTGAGAAAGGAAGGGAAGGAGAGAGGAAGGGAAGGGAAGGGAAGGGAAGGGAAGGGAAGGGAAGGGAAGGGAAGGGAAGGGAAGGGAAAGGAAGGGAAGGAACCTGAATCCTTATTGACTCCTTTTCTTATTCCACATGAGCTACTTCCCAACCTTGAGAGGAGAAAGAATCTGAAGATGGGGGCATATATTTGGGGGTCTGTTCCTAACTCTGCCACTAACTAGTCATGCTCCCTCCCAAGGTCTCACTGTCCTCATTTGAAAATGATGGTTTTGGAATAGATGGTCTTTTGGGTCCCTTCTAGCTGTCATATCTTCTGTGTCTATAATACAGTTGGCTAGAATATTATTTAGTAAGTGGCTACATCTCTTCACCACAAATAAATCACTGCTTAGAAGAATTATGAAGAGGTGTGTGTGTGTGTCTCTCACGTATGCAGAGAAACCTGAGAAAAAAGTAACTCAATACAAATATACCTTACACTCTGTCATACAAAATCCCTCCCAAAACTGGATCTGTCTAGAATACTTCCCAGGACTGGAGGAGCTCTCTTTTAAAGGCATCTCTCATGGGCCTTTTTGTAAAATGAATGATCACCTGGTAAGCCAGCTATTTTGTAACATACTTTCATCACCTCCTGTCTAGATGATTGGGCAGATCTTGTCACTGGCTTTCCTGCCTCACGTTGTCCATTGTAAGAACAGCACCAGATTGTCTTTCTAAAACAATTTATGATCATATAACTTTGGGCTCAAAAATCTCATTGACTCTCTATTGCTGCTATTATTTTCTTTTATTCTTTTATACCCCCATGGGGCCTTCCAAAATTACCCCTAAGCCACAGAAATCCTAATCCCCTCTGAGCACTGGGAGCTCCCAATCACTCTCTAGGAAGCGGCACTTCTTTAATTCCTCCCAGGGATTCCAAGTCCTTGGGACACTAGCATGCCCTAACACACATTCTTTTATTCTTTTTGGGTGTCTCAATCTGGCACCCAGGCTGGAGTGCATTGACACAATCATGGCTCACTGCAGCTTTGACCTCCCAGGCTCAAGCAATCCTCCCATCTCAGCCGCCCAAGTAGCTGGGAATAGAGTTGCATGCCACTATGCCCTGATAATTGTTTTGTTTTGTTTTGTAGAGACGAGGTCATGCTATGTTGCTCTGGCTGGTCTCAAGCCCCGATCTCAAGCAATCCTACCAGCCTCAGCCTCCCAAAATGCTGAAATTACAGGCATAAGCCACTGCACCCAGCCTATTGTCTGTATTATAAGCCTGAGGCTCAGCCTGGCTCCAGGGACCTTTATAAAATGACTCCAGGGTATTTTTTCACTTCATCTCCCACCACTCACTTATATGTCCTTTGGGTCACAAACCTGGTCACCTCTATGTCCGACCTTCACTGATCTTACACCCATTATCTTATCCTGCCCAAATTCCTTCCTCCCTCTTATTCACTGATCTACAACCTCCTCGGGTTAAGTCACCGTTTGTTTTCTTAGCTACCTCCATGGGACCTTCCAAAATTACCCCCAAGCCACAGAAATCCTGTCCCCTCTGAGCACCTGGCACCCCCAATCACTCTCTAGGAAGCAGCACTTCTTTAATTCCTCCCAGGGGTTACATATCCCTGGGACACTAGCGTGCCCTAACACATCATCTGACAAAGAAGCCTGGTGCATTTAGAGTACATTGGAGATTAGGAAAGAGAAGGGGACAAGGTAGGGATTTCTTTCTCAGCCCAGAGCCATTTAGACATGAAGATAAAAATACTGGAAAAAGCAGACACAGGCCAATACCTTAATGATCTGCAGAGTCTCCAATGTGGACAGGATAGTGACATTTGGGAAGGTGTCCTTAGCTTGCTGTGGAGGGAAACATAAGAACAGACATAAGCAATCGGTATCCTATGTTCTTCTGAGATGCAAAAGGCAATGAGAAGGAACTCATTTTCAAGCTAAGATGTAAGGGGAGGGATACTCCGTCATCCACACCTTTACACCAACCCATACTCACGATGGCTCTTTTGATTTCTTGGAAACTCTCTTCTATATGGTGCATGTCTGTGGAAATCAGACATCTCCTGAGACCGTGGTTGTCTACTGAGCACAATATCAGTATTGTACCCAGGAGCCAAAGGGAAACACACTGTAACTTCATGCCTGCAGAAAGGAGAGGAAGTCAGCTGTCCAGCCAAGAGTGGAGGGCAATGAAAAAGAAGACCCCTGATTGACGCTCCTTTCCAGCCTCGAAGGCAAGCCGGGAGGAATACAAGAAAACAACACTAAACACTTCAGCCTTGAGGAGTTACAGGGGTATGTATCTCCTCTGGTTTTCTTGAGTCAACTGGATATGAGTTCTTCCCCACCCTCACCCCATGCCCCCACCTCCACCCCAGAAAACACGATACACCACTCTCTTAAGTCCCAGGAAGCATACTTGTATGCATATCACTCTCCTATGACTCAACACAGCCTACTTTGTCAACAGGGGTGAAAAGCATTGTTTTTAATAAATTAAATAGGAAAAGCAGGGTTGGTAAGATGCCCTAGGAATTCGGCAACAGATGTGAAAAACCATAAAAACACACTTGGTTTTTGATGTTTGCCCCTGAAATAAGTAACACCCTTTTATTATAAACCTCAAGAGTGTATCTGCTTAAAATCATTTGTTTGAAGCCAGCTGTGGAGATTTCACCTTCTGGAGAGATGGGAAAGGGAGGCACAAGGCATCTTCAAGAACTAATTAGCCACAATAAGGAGCTAGGGGAAGAAGCCAAAGGTAGAGGGCAGCTTGGCAACTTCCCGTCGGTCACCTGCTGAGCCAAAGGGTATGAGGGGCATGTTTGCAGCTAGCTGCTTCATAGCCAGGGCCAGACCCTGAGAGGTTTGCCACCGCTTCTCATTCTCTTACCCTTCTTGCCTCTGTCTTTCTTGCTGCCTCTTCATTTAACCACTTTGTATTGTGCCACATAATGCGCACAGAGAAAAGTGCGTAAAATATAATGGTACAGCTTATGGGGTTATCTCTGTTTTCACCCACATTTCACAAGCTTATAAATAGAGCTTAGCCTTAACGCATGTCTTATGACAACACATGTGACGAGAGCAGCCCTCTGCTATGCACTTTGCATGGTGCCCACTGAGATCTCCCATTTACAGCTGTGTGTGCCAAGGTAAGTGTATCGTGTGTGGCCGTGGAGGAGAGGAGGGCATAAGACACAGGGAGCCAGCTGCGAGGACTGTAGAGCTATAGTTAAAGCTGCTGTAACTCACACGTGTGAGTGTGAACCCCAGCTGCCCCCACTCCCCATGCCTTCCTCAGGATTCCCAGCTCCTCTGGAAAGCCAGAAACAGCAAATCCTGTTTAGAAACCATTTTTGCCTGTCTCTCCTTAACTGGGCATCATTCCCAGGGAATAGACAGGTGTATGTCAAGACCTTACCACGTGGCAGGCATTAAGCCAAAGAGCTCCTTTCCTCTTTTATCAACCTCTCTTTCTGGCTAAACAAGGATGGGCCCCATTGCCAGGGAAGTTTGTAGAGAGTCCCCCAGAGCTCTGTCTCCTCAGAACGCTACTGGGGTGCTTCTAGAAAGCCAAGAAAGAGAGTGCAGTTTTTCTTCTGACAAGGTAACTCTCAGAAGCAGGCAGATATTGCCTGCTCATCCCATGCCAGGAGACTTGCGCATTTTGTGGAGGAGAAAGATGTCTCCCTTAGCTTGGTGAGGCAATTCCAGACATCTTGGCTAATTCAGATATTAGTAGTAAGTAACATTTATCCTGCGTGCCATGTGCATTGGGCACTGTCCCAAGAATTTTACGTAATTTTCTCATTTAATGCTCACAACCACCCTATGAAGTAGGCTCTGTTTCTGTTCCCATTTTACCAAAAAAATGAAGTAACCTGCCCAAGCCAGGGTTTGAGAGAAGGCGGGCCAGTCCCTGAGCTGGCTGTCTTTACTGCTACTCCACCCCACTTACAACATTGTTTCCCTCTGACATCATAGCCTGGGATCCCAGTAGCTCCCCTGACACCAGACAGACAGGAACCCATTTCTGAACCAGTGATGCTCCTTACATTTAAAAAGATATTTCACATTGCAAAGGATTAAACAATGATAACACATTATAAAGTGCCCAACACAGTTCTTGGAACAAAAAAGCAATAGTAAAGACATTAAATCCTTGACCTTTCCTTCCTTCACTCCTTCTTTCCCACTCTCTATCTCTTCTCGTTGAAAATAAGATACTAGAAAATTCACCTTTTCTATAGAGTACCCCTTCCCATTCTACCAAATGCCCAGCATCTGGAACATCATAGCCATACACAATGGTAACAGGTCACCTCCCTGCGGCAGTGAAGGAGGAGGGCTAGGATGGCGGTGCATAGGAGCCCCTGATGACGGACAGCGTGAGCCTCACCTCTCACTTGGTGCTTGCGGGCTGCTCCTTGTGTCTCCTCTCAGTGCTCTCTGCCATTTGGAAAGGGCTGGTCATTTTTATTCAGGTGGATAAGAGGAAATGCTGTCAAGGTTTGCTGGGTGGATCCACCTTGGGGAGATTGTTTTTTCCCCTTGTTTTCTTAGTATTGTATTTCCTTAATTGTTTTCTTTCTTCTTTAAGATATAGCTGATTAATCATTATTATGAAATGCCTCTTTCTTCTGGGTCTTGACATGCAGCTTCTAGGAAAAATAAACTCCCCATCTCCATGCAAATGAGAATTTTTTGCAATTCTATGTCCATGCAGAAAAATCCAACTTAGGTCACTTTCCTGAGAGCTGTGGCACGTTACCAAGTGTACCCTGCAGGCCAACTCACAAAAGCACTCTCAATCAGCCACACCCTGCAGCAGCCAGCCCATGAGGCTCTGCAGGTGCCTCTGGCTGCAGCACGATCCAGTTCTCCAATGCCTTAGGCAGCTATGAGTGTCTGCCATGTGCCAGGTGCTAGCTAACTGCTTTACCTGCATCATTTTGTTGAACTTCATGAGGAACACTTTTTCCCCTCATAAAGCAAGGATTTCTTTGCACATCATCTATTTCCCCTTCATCTTGTCCCCTGGAGGGTTCTCTCATTCTTGATTAATGCAGAGAGAGAGAAAATGAGACTGGAAAGAAGAGAGGTTTAAGATCAGCCAGTGGCAGAGCCAGGACCTGAAATCCTTATTCTTGGGCTAGAAGACTCTCTAACTAAATTACCTTTTTACATAAACTCTTTACCAAGAAGTTCTCTAGGGATCAGGTTTGGGGCAATGAAAAGATAGGGTATAAACAGTTTCTTCCCATTAAATAAAATTTCCAGGGGGTAATTGGTTTGGACTGAGTTACTGCACTAGGCCAATAGGCCAAACCTAAATGGAGTCGCTCATGCTGAATGAAGTTCCACACCACCAAGCTGAAACTAAACTGTTTATCTAACCTTCTGAGAAATCAGGAGAGAGAAAGATAATAGCCAAATCCTGAAACAAGCCAGTTTTAGCCAGCGTATAAGGAAGTCTCCTCTGCTCTAACCTTTACAAGGAAAGTAACTTTTAAATGACCAGTTTGCTTTTTGTTCTCTGTTTCTGCTTCCTCTAGCAGTTGTCTGCCCACAAAACCACTCTCCTCTGTCAGCTCATGGGACCACTCATTCTATTTTTATAAAATAGGATGTTGCCTGATTCTAGAATTGCAAATAAAAGCCAATTAAGATCTTTAAACTAAATGTGTTGTAATTTTGTCTTTTGACATCCCCAAACACAGACTCCCAGAATAAATGGAGCTTATTTTTAACCAAATGAAGTGACCTTGGGATGAGGTGCAATTATGAGACCCCACTGGGCTGGTACAAACCCTGTTCCTGCAGCCAGATTTGGGAGACAGAGAGGGCCACAGGGCACCGGCAGAGAAGGAAAAGGGACAGGAAAGATCAGGGCCTTTTACGGGACAGGTGCAAGGGAAAGAAACCCCAGGGACTTGATGTCTTGTGGTCCAGCATCTTGGACATAATAAAATGGTAAGTGTTGAGGGAAGTGGTAGACTATAGTGGTTCACAACGTAGTTCTGGATTTAAACCCTGGTTCACTCTCTTCTCTTCTTCCTTATCTCCCTTCTCTTCTTGGTAGCATGCCACAGCTCTCAGGAAAGTGACCTAACTTGGATTTTTCTGTATGAACATAGAATTGCAAAAAAAATCTCATTTGCATGGAGATGGGGAGTTTATCATTTTTCCTAGAAGCTGCATGTCAAGACCCAGAAGAAAGAGGCATTTCATAATAATGATTAATCAGCTATATCTTAAAGAAGAAAGAAAACAATTAAGGAAATAAGACGAGGGTATGGCCAGGCAGGTACCCTCTCTGCCTTGCTCAGAAAGGTTACCATGCCTATTGCCTTCTATGGGAATGAGGTTCCATGGAGTTGAGCAATATGTGGCCCTATTGCAGAGTCTGGATGAAATGCATTAGGTCTATAGACACTGGAAAAGCTACTTAAAGCCTTTCTGAAGCTCCATAAAATAGGTAAAATAAAACTGTGAGGATTTGAATGAGCTAAAGGACCTGTGTCATAGTAAGTACTCCTTAATAAATATTATGTATTTCTATCCTGTGTGCCAGGCACCTGGAAAAGGAGAAGACACCTTTGTTAGGAGCTAATGGACATCTTTCTGCTCCTTTGGAGAGGGTGCAAAGAGCTACTCTTGACCTCGGGAATCTCCCCTACTCCCACCCTTGTTTCCCCCAGAGGGGTGGGATGGAGGGAGGTGGGTGCTGTTTTCCCAGCAGGGCCTGAGCTGCCTGGCTCGGAGTCCCTCTGCACATGTGAGAATAGCAGCTCAGAGCCCAGCTGCACATGTAAGGGGATTTGCAACACTGTCCATGCTGAGTCTCACCCCACATTCACCCCTTGTGCTCAGGCTATATGTTCTGACCTAGCTTTCATTTCAGGGCAGATATGTCATATCAGGAAGCTTGCAGGGGAAGGGAAATAAGTGATGTGTTTATAGCTCCTCTTCCAGCATGTGGTGTACCATAATCGCTGGTACTGGAAGCTGGGTTGACTGGCTCTGCTTTCTATGGCTGTCAGACTGAAGGCAAGCCACTTAATCTCAGTGCCTGTTTACTCATCTGTAAAATGGTACACATCATGCCTACTGCACGTTCACCATGTAGGCGCAGCATGAAGATGAAGTGATTACACATAATTCCTCAGCACAGTACCTGGCGCATAATAAGCAACTTGAAAATGACATTTATTATCAATTTTATAATTCCCTTTAGAGCTCCTAAATCAGGAAGAAGGGGGAACAATAAGAAATAAGTTCTCTTCATCTTAAGCCTTGCTGCCTGACCCCTAATATCAAAAATAAGAATATAGATTGAGATAGAATGGCATCTTTCCCAGGATTGCAATTCAATTATGAATCTGGTCTCCAGACACAAGGTTGCATCTGCCTTAGAATTAGGACTTCTGGGACCAATGGACCCACCATTGAGATATCAGAGCTCAATTTTCCACTTGTTGAGTAGGGAAGCAGAAAGAATGTGAGGGAAGATTGGCGAGCCAGAATGGAGAATGCTTTGAGTTTGACATGTTCTGGACACAACTCTCTCATGTCTTCCAATTCCTTATCCCCGCCTAACATGCACTCCAACCTCATGAATTTTTCATAATGATGCCAGGGCAATTTCCTTCCCTTAAAAGAGTGGATCCTGGCCATTCCTAAGTACTGAGTCTTGAGCGCATACAAAAATTGCATAATTCCAGAGGGTACCATGCCTATTGCCTTCTGTGGGAATGAGGCTCCATGGACTTGAGCAATGTGTGGCCCATTGCAGGATTTAGATGAAATGTATTAGATCTATATGAGTAATTTTGGTTAGATTTGAGAAAGAACCTATCATTATGAGGACTATAAAACACGAAGAAGTATGACTGAGAACGAATTTGTAAAAAAAGAAACGTAGGCCAGGAGCGGTGGCTCACGCCTGTAATCCCAGCACTTTGGGAGGCCAAGGCGGGCGGATCACGAGGTCAGGAGATCGAGACCATCCTAGCCAATGTGGTGAAACCCCGTCTCTACTAAAAATACAAAAAATTAGCCTGGCGTGGTGGCAGTACCTGTAATTCCAGCTACTCGGCAGGCAGAGGCGGGAGAATGGCATGAACCCGGGAGGCAGAGCTTGCAGTGAGCCGAGACCGCACCACTGCACTCCAGCCTGGGCAACAGAGCAAGACTCCATCTCAAATATATATATATATATAAAACTGATAATGATGGATGGGTATTTTATTTGGGAAGCTAATAGGGATTTTAAAACAGAATACATAAATGTTTAAATGTCTTGGTAAATATATCTAGATCATAATGATATGTGTGAACTTCTGTATAGCTTTGAAAATAAAACAAAAAAAAAGGTGAGAAAAAGAACTGGGAAATTTAAACCTAAAGAAGTTTCTCCTTTGTTTTGTTTTTGTTTTTTTATCTTTTCTCTCTCTTTTATTCCTCATTTTCAGTGGGGTTGGCTCTCCTTTATTGTGATATTTGGAAATGAGAGTCAGAAAATATAACAGAGATAACTCAGTTCAATGTTCACATTACAGTGATGAAGAAATAGAGAAGTGAACCAGCCCTCCATGGCACCGCAAGGAAGTGGCACAACTGCTCTCAAACCTCTATCTCCTTACCTCTGGCTCAGCGCCCTTTCTAACCCCATGCTGCCCTTTCACTCTAGGATTAGGTAGAGTGGAAAGGAACCTAGACTTGTGAGGAACCTCAAGCCCATTCAGCAGAGGAGGTGACATAACTCTCCCAAGCCATGCTGTTCTGACTTGTCATTACCCAGGAAGCTGAGGACTTAAGGAAATCCAAACTGGCCACACCTGTGCTCCTGGGGAGGGAAGCACAAATCCACATTGGGCACCTATGCCACTTCAGCCTGTACTTCCTTCTCCTCCTCCTTTTTTGCCCACAGGGATCTTGGTCAAAGTCTGTTCAAAGCCTCAGACCCTGGGTGACACATCTTATGTCAATGGGCTCTGTGGTTCAAATGTTATGAAAGAGCCCCAGTGGTGATGGGATGGAGGGATAGTAATGGAAAGAGCCCAACTGATGCCTCCCCATTCCTCTCCTGAACAATCCACTCTTCCCTAGGTAGGTGGACTTTTTAAAATGCAAACCCAGTCTTGGAACTCTCCAGTCTAAAACTCCCAGCATAACGCCCTGGGGCCTCCCAGTAGCAGGAAATCTGCTCCCCACAGCATCCAGACCCATCACAGCCTGGACTTCGCCTACATTTTCCGCCTCATCTCTCTTGCAGATCTCCCACACCTCACAGGCTCATCTCACCTAGAAAGCCCCGCTGCCTCACCTACCTTGTAAACACCAACCTAACGTTCAAAACCTAGCTCCAGTGTGACTTCCTTTGTGAAACTTCTCCCCTCTTCCTTTCCTCTCCCCACTCCCCTCCTCCTCCCCACTTCAACCCTGGTTGAGTTGACCACTACTTTCCTTTTTTATATTCCCGCTGGATACAAGATGCATATTTAACTTTGAATTTCAATGAAAACATCTCAGTGTTTATCTACCTGAAATTCCAAGTTAACTGGGTGTCTTGTATTTGTATTTGCTAAATCTGGCCATGCATAGCTCATACAATTGGGTGGGGAGAGTCCTTTTAAGAAATTGAATTCAGGCTGGGCACAGTGGCTCACACCTGTAATCTCTGCACTTTGGGAAGCCGAGGTGGGAGGATCCCTTGAGGCCAAGAGTTTGAGACCAGTGTAGGCAACAAAGCGAGACCACATCTCTGAAAAAAAAAAAAAAAAAAAGCTGCATGTGTTGGCACATGCCTGCCTGTAGTCCTCATGCACACCTGTAGTCAGGAAGTTGAGGAGGCAGGACAATTGCTTGAGGTCAGGAGTTGAAGACTGCAGTCTGCTATAATTTCACCATTGCACTCCAGCCTGGGCAACAGAGTGAGACCCTGTCTGCGGGAAAATAAATTGAATTCAAAAATAGAAATACAAAATTAGAGACAAAAGTAAACGTTTATTTAGAAAGAGAAATTACAACAAATTACAAATCATAAAAGCTAACAAATACCACAAACACCACAAAATCCAGAAAAAAAAATCTTTATTCTTTAACTCCTGACAACTTTTTGTTTCCTTCTTCTATGTCAATACTTTTTTTTACTGTGCCTCTGGGAGAACCAGAGAATGGTATTGGGTTCAAATGTTTACGTACCTTTCACTCCAATTTCTAACATTTCTCATGGTCACATACTCAAGATGTTGCCAGAAAAGAGGATCCCAATCTAGACCCCAAGAGTGGGTTCTTAGATCTCACACAGGAAAGAATTGGAGCACAGACAAAGAAGCAAATTTATTGGAAACTACTCCATTAGAGAGTAGGGCATGCCCAGAAAGCAGGAGGAGGAACCCCTGTCCTTTAGGAACATCTCTGCTTATAAGAAACTATAAGGAGCTATGATTAAACTTGGAATGTGCAGATGTGCTCACTAAAGGTAGGGGCTGTTGGTGCTCTAGTGACCATTAATCCTTCAACTTGAGTCTGCTCATTGACGTTATCTCTGAGTAAAGTGGGCTGTACTTGGGACATCTGGACATTCTGCAGGCTTGGTGGGAGATGTCCTATATAGCCATCAATCTTCTGTAATTATAAGTGGTGGTGAGCTTAGAAATGTGTCACTCCAGTCATGTTTTATTAAACCAGAGGCCTGGTAAGCAGGAGTTCCTCTAACAAAATTCATAGACTAAAAGAGTAGACTCACACTAATAACTAACAAGTACTGAGCACATTTGCCACCCCAGGGTCTGTGTGAAGCATCCATATGCATTGTCTGTTTTCATCTTCACACCTATTCCATGAGGTCAATACTATTTTTGTGTCCATCATTTTGGATAAGGAAGATGAGACTTGGAGCTACCAAGTACTTCACCCAAAGACACCCAGGTGGGGTGTGGTACAGCTGCGTGCAGTCATAGGCAGCCCACTCCAGGGCTTCATTACACCAGACATGAAAGAGCATCTGGCCCACCCTTCTCATTTACAGATGAGGGAACAGCTGAGGCCCAGAGAGAAGCATTTTGTTCTTTTTGTTTTTTTTGTTTTGTTTTGTTTTGTTTTTTGAGACGGAGTCTCGCTGTCACCCAGGCTGGAGTGCAGTGGCACGATCTCGGCTCACTGCAGGCTCCGCCCCCCGGGGTTCATGCCATTCTCCTGCCTCAGCCTCCCGAGTAGCTGGGACTACAGGCGCCCACCACCTCGCCTGGCTAATTTTTTGTATTTTTAGTAGAGACGGGGTTTCACTGTGTTAGCCAGGATGGTCTCGATCTCCTGACCTCGTGATCCGCCCTCCTCGACCTCCCAAAGTGCTGGGATTACAGGCGTGAGCCACCGTGCCCGGCCGAGAGAAGCGTTTTGAATTTGAAAATTGAATTCAAAAATAGATGGACAAAATTAGAGACAAAAGTAAATACTTATTTAGAAAGAAATTACAACAAATTACAAATTCATAAAAGCTAACAAATAACACAAACACCATAAAATCCAGAAAAAAATAATATTTCTATTCATTAACTCCTGACAACTTTTTGTTTCCTTCTCCTATGTCAATACTTTTTTTTACTGTTATTTTCTATAAAGAGAATAAAAAAATATTCAGTCTGTCCTTTGCTATGGTTGTTTCCATCAGCTTACCCCAATGGAAGGTTAAGATTTAATTCTTTCATAACACTCCATACAAACCTGTTATTTCTTTCCCCCATCCCACCAACATAAGCGTATCACAACGGCACTTCTTTCTAGGCAATGTGTCACCCACATTGTATCACAACTTTCTGTTTCCTTCGTCAGACAACTGAGTAGTGGTGGAGCTGGGACCGGAGGCCACATCCCTGAACTCTCAGTCCAGTGCTCTTTCCATTCACAGAATCTTTGTCCTCTCTTCTCACTTCAAACTTCCTCCCTATAGAAACAGGCATCTCTTCCCTCCAAGCAAAGGAACAGCAGAACGGCAAATGGCATAGAGGATGGCTTGAGAGTGTCCTTCCCAACTGGCAAGTCCAGGCGTGTCAGGAGGAACTCTAATTCTGTGGAAATCGGATGTGGTTTTTTCCTCTTATTGTTAAAATAAATCATGTCAGTTGAAAAGAGCTTCTCCCATGGGTACTGGGAGCCAGGGAGTTCCTGGGGAGGGCTTCACCCCAGAGCCCTGGGAGGAGGAGAGGGTGGACTGGAGGCTGCTGGCCTGCTGCAGAGTTACAGAAAGCAGGTGGCAGAGTGAGAGCTGACTCATCTGAAATACTAAAGCGGTAAGGGCAGGCCAGGGACGAGGACTGCATCTTGCATCCACATTGTTTCCTGGAAGAAACCCCACCCAGCTGCCCTCTCCCCTACTACCATCCCAGCTCCTCAAATCCTGTCCTTTCAGAAAGCCAGCGGTGTAGTTCAGACTTCCTTTCCTAGAGGATTTTCTGCCCTGGGTTGTCTAAATCTCCACCATGTCCTGGGGACAAAGCCATTCAATATGGCAGACCAAATAGAAGCCAGCTGTCAGCATCTACTTAGAAGTTAGCTAGGATTTGCAGCTTAGGGCTAAAATTCAAAGCAAGGTACAATTCCTCTAGGAATCCCTCTCTCAGTGCCCTCACCGCATTATCTTCCCCTTGGTCTCCCCTCAGCCCTTGAGGACTTATTTTGAACTCTGTTCACTTTTACTTTAGATTGTTTGGGCCACTCTGAAATCTCTCTCCTATCAGACTTGAAGGTGGAGGAGGGCTGAGACCGTGTGTCCCAAGCAGAGGGTGTATAACAGTTAGTGGCCAGATGGCCCCATTTTTAAGTTGGTCTCTCAGTTTGAAGGTCAAGCTCTGGTTTGAATATAGACTCCACAAGGGCAGGGATCTTGTCTGTGTTGTTCATCACTTTATCCTCAAAATGTAGCACATACTGGGTCCTCCAAGTTTGTTGACTGAATGAAGGAATGACAGGGAATGAGACCTTCCAAAGGCAGGGACAATCGTGCAGTTCTTTGGTGTTTCCGCACATCCACCTGCACGGGGTTTTGGCGAGTTCCACATGAACAGCCTGCCTGCTAAGCTGGGTTCCTGGTGGGGAGGAGCCCCTGGATCTATGCTGTAGAAACATTATTCTTCTGTGCCCCTTCAGTGAAGCCCTTCCAGAGAAAAATCAGAAAGGTCAGGCCCAAAGAGTCTACATGCTTCTCTCCCAGTATCCAACATAACTAGATTCAGAAGGGGTTGGAGACAGGCAATCCTGGCTACTGAAGAGTTGAATTACAGTCTTTTTTCGTCTAGGGTTTGCACCTAAGTTGAAGATTAAACAAAATGTGGTATCAGAAGGAAAAATTTTGATCTTGACATCTTATAGATATTGAAGAGTTATTAAGCCAGGAGAAAGAAAAATTCAAGTTGGCCAGCTGCATCAAAGGCAATTCAATCATTTTGACTCACAGCCTTGAAGCACAGTAACAATTAAGCACATTTTAAGTGCCAGAGTAACTTGCCATCACTAAAGCTTTTCTTGTAGTATGATCAATGTTTAAATACAGAAAGAGTTACTTATGCACCAACTACAGGTCCAAGATTTCTGATTCATTTGAGAAGTTGATTCAATATATGGAATCCCTCTCCCCACAAAAATGTACACATATGCAAACTTTCCTTCTGATGTCTTTCTGAGAACCCCTCAAGAGTCCATGAACCCTAAATTAGTAACATTAAAAGATTTGGATTCAGGGGGCCTGGCGCAGTGGCTCATGCCTATAATCCCAGCACTTTGGGAGGCCGAGGTGGACAGATTGCCTGAGGTCAGGAGTTCGAGAACAGCCTGGCCAACACAGTGAAACCCCATCTCTACTAAAAATACAGAAAATTAGCAGGGTGTGGTGATGGGCGCCTGTAATCCCAGGAGGCTAAGGCAGGATAATCGCTTGAACCCAGGAGGCAGAGGTTGCAGTGAGCCGAGATCGTGCCATTGCACTCCAGCCTGGGCAACAAGAACAAAACTCCATCTCAAAAAAAAGATTTTTTTCTTTTAGACTCAGGTATAACTTTCACACTTGCTGGCTCTATAACTTCAGACAAATGAATTAATCTCTCTGTGCCTCAGTTTCCTCATCCGGAGAAATGGGGGTGATAATTCCTCCCCTACTCTTACTAGCTCTGTGATCTTGGGAAAACCAGGTCAGTCTATCTTCCCTTAGCCCCAGTTTTCTCATCTATAACATGTGGCAAATGAGGAACAGACAGTATAACATACAGGAAGCTCCTACAAGAAGGAGGAAATGCCATACATGTTTTTGAATCGGCAGATGCAAGAAACATAAACTTAACTCACTGAAGAGAGTCTATGTTTTCCTCTATTCCACCAATACTCTTCTCATTCACAAACAGCATCTGTCCATCACTTTATGATCTCCAGGGCATTTTTCACATATAGCATTACTTCACACTCGGAATTCCATGTCAACAGGGAAGATCTTCCATATCAATAGGGAAGATGTCCTCCTTTCTTTAGATGGGAAGGCTAAGGCTCAATGATTGAAGGATCATGCAGCCAGCTAGAGCTAGAACTCAGCCTACCTAGGCTTCTTAACTCCGTCCGAGCCTCCTCCCTGCCTTCCCCCTGGGGCAACAGCTAGGGTTGCCCTCCATCCAGGGGACCCAAGCCTCTGGAGAGAAATAATCCGCTGATATCAAGTAACAGTGCTTGAGTGAGCAGCAGGAGCAGCAGTTTTGCCCCTCAAAACACTCAGGACCATTTCTTGGCAAAAGATTCAAGGTTGAGAACATTCTTTCCCTCTGAAGACACGGCGATCCTGCTAAAACTGAAACTTGCCCAAGTCACATCCTTCTTAAGACGGAGGGAAGCAGGGCCTCCACCCCCATGGCTTTGAGCTTTGAGAATTCCCTTGGCAGGAACATCCTGTGAAACCTCCAACAGGCCTTGGAAGGCTGAGAAGCCTTCCCATCACACACTGTTTATTCCCTGCATTTCTTACCCATTCTTATCCTTCAGTGATGGCTCCTCACCTCCAGACAACGGAGAGTGTTATGTTTGTTTAATAACATTTTCTTTTCTCAGCCATTAGAAAAGTAATCCTTGCTTTGGTATGGAAAAATTATAGAGAACACAAAAATAAAATAGATAATGGAATAAAAAACTAGAAGGAAAGAAAAATGGTCATCCACAGTTATTCTATCCAGGAATAATCTTGGTGTCTTGGTGTCTTTTTTTTTTTTTAGACGGAGTCTCGCTGTCACCAGGTTAGAGTGCAGTGGCATGATCTCGGCTCACTGCAATCTCCACCTCCCGGGTTCACACCTTTCTCCTGCCTCAGCAACCCGAGTAGCTGGGACTGCAGGCGCACGCCACCACGCCCAGCTAATTTTTTTTGTATTTTTAGTAGAGAAGGGGTTTCACCATGTTTGCCAGGATGGTCTCAATCTCCTGACCTCGTGATCCGCCCACCTCAGCCTCCCAAAGTGCTGGGATTACAGGAGTGAGCCACCACACCCAGCCATCTTGGTGTCTTTTCTAACTTGGATCACCTAGAAAAAAAATGTTTAGGCCAGGTGCGGTGGCATATGCCTCCCAGCACTTTGGGATGCCGAGGCTAGTGGATCACTTGAGGTCAGGGTTTTGAGACCAGCCTGGCCAACATGGAGAAACCCCGTCTCTACTACAAATACAAAAATTAGCCAGGCATGGTGGCACATGCCTTTAGTCCCAGCTACTCAGGAGGCTGAGACAGGAAAATCACTGGAACCTAGGAGGTGGAGGCTGCAGTGAGCCGAGATCACACCACTATACTCCAGCCCAGGCAACAGAGTGAGACTTCATTTCAAACAAAAAAAAAAGAAAGAAAAAGAAAGGATCCATGCAGTGAAATATAACCCTAGACCCTAACCCCCACAAGGCTGCAACCACCTGAGCCCACCCTGGTCACTTACACATTCATTCAGCTGGGACCCTACAACAAGCCAGGCCCTGCACTAGGTTTGGGGGACACCGAAGCGTTGGGGGACACCAAAGTGGACAGCATATTCCCGGCCCCACAGACCTCACAGTAGTAGGAGAGACAGGCCATTAAACAGATGTCATGATCACTCTTACCAGTCAAGACCTGGGCTCTGTGCTAAGCATTTTCAATATATTAATTTATTTAATCCTTACAACCTTGTGAGAAGGTACTATCTTTAGCCACATAACACAGATTGATAAAACTGAAGTTAAAAGAGTTTAAACACTTGGACAAGGTTGTCGAGCTTGTAAGTGAGGAGCTGAGATCCAGACCCATGGAGACTGACTCCGGAATGGAATGAGGGTTATGAGGATCAGGAAAGGCCTCTCTAAGGAAGTGAGGTTTAACCTGAGACATGGAAGAGGAGCACAAGTAGAACATCTCAACCCCATTCTTTCCTCCATATCACCCACCAGCCTCCAGCATTCTCCTCCAGGATTCTTGTGCCAACTTTGCCCATAGCTATGGCTCTTCGTGGGCCCTGCAGCTGCCATTCCCACTTATCTTGCTTCTTAGCCCTTCTACCCAGGGGTGTTTCCCTATCGCCCTTCTCCATTTCCCCCTTCATGCAAGCCTCTTACTCAGGACCCTGCCCCGCTCATTCTCTCGAGGGCATCTTGGAAATTCCCCTTTCCCCCTTGCCCAGAATAATTTCAGGCTTAGCCCAGAACCCCCAGTTTTCCCAGCACCAAATATTAATCACAGTTCAGGCTAAAACTGCCGTGCTCAAGTTCCTCCAGATTCCAGGCACGGTGGGGCACGGACATGACGAGAGAACTCTGGGACTTGTCAGCTTCTGACTACCCCAGAAAGGCAGGGCAAGAACAAGGCCTGTGGGAACTTGAAGAACCTGGACACCTCTTCCAAATTAAGGTGCAGACCAAACCCTTTCCCAAAGTGTGAGGAGTTTTCATTTCAGTGGGCGGCTTTCCTTCCAGCCTTCCCACAAAGGACATCCTGGGGGAAAGGGAGCTGTTGATCCCAGGGTGGCGGCATACCAGAGCACTCTGTCCCTGAACTCACTTCTCCCTTTTCTTAGCCCTGCTGTGCCTGGGGAAGCTTAGAAGCACCTGGCAGGTGGTGATCCCTGCATCCACCTGCTGCAGTGGAAGACAATAGGAGCGAAGCTAATGGTGCTAGAGCAGGGACTGAGCCTTTGCCAAGAGAAAAACACATGCAGACTCTGTTAGTCTTGAACACACTTTCTCTTCCAGAGGATTCCTCCCAGGGAACTCCCAGAGGAGGAGGAAGTGCCAACGTTGTCCAAGGTCCCTGTTAAAGAAAAACCCTAATGGGAGAGCAAAAAGAACCTTTGGCAAAGACAGCTCTACACCTGAAAGCCGCAAGCATCGTAACAATGATAATAGCAACAACAAATGCTTATATGGCGCCTACTATTTGTGAGACAGTGCTCCAAATGCTTTATGGACTTGAACTCATTTAATCTTATGTCCAGTAGAACCTGCTTCACTGTGGCTCTTTACAGGTGCCAGGTCCTGTTGCTAATCTGGTATTTCGATAGTATCATTTTAACTTCCAGAACCTGTCATCATCATATCACTCATTGATTCAACAGATTGAGCACCCACTGTATCTTACACACTATGCTATGGTCTGGGAATGCAAAATGACAACAATTTCATCCCCTGAAGAGCTGAGGATCTCATGGGAAAGACAGGCAAACAAAGAGGATAATCCATTACAGTGGTATAAGTGCTTTGAAAAGGGGAAATAAAGCATGCTGTGGAACACAGTAGAGAGACAGTAATGCAAACCAAGTTGTGTGGGGGCAGGGGATATCAGGGAAGGCTCCTAGGTA